>NC_000010.11:6070606-6222121 GCF_000001405.40 Homo sapiens
CCAGTGCTACCCTGCTGAAGGAAGTCTCACCGCATCCCTCCCTCTGGAAGTGCTCCCCCTCCTCTGGGCTGTTCCCTTATCTGCATCTTAGGAATATTGAAAGGAATCACTAGCACTGACTAGGCCCTTACTACATGGCAAGCACTGTGCTGAGAATGTTGCATGTCTCTGCCGCTGACTTCTCACAGCAATCTGGCGGGGCCGGCATGCCATCACTATTTCCATGTTACAAGTGCAGGCATTGCATCTCATTGTGGTTGTGAAACACCCACACTCACATAATTCGTCAGGAGTGGTGTCATGTCTAGGTCCCAGGTCTGTCTAACCCTTACACATGCCACAAGCCCATCACTCTCAGGGCATTTACCAATTGAAAACTGCCTTGTAGCTCTCTGGAGACACGGCTGATCATTCCAATGAGGCTCTATGCATCTTTAGAGAGAGGATATGCCTCTAGGTCGCCTTCTTATTCCTAGTGCTGAGTTCAGTACTTAGCATGGAATTAATGCTCAGTCGTTAAGCATTGAATGAATGACTGTATGCAGAACCTTTTTAGAGCTCTGGATTTGGGAAACACAGTTAATAAGGCATCAGCCTTCACTGTATTTCATCAGGCTTTTACTTTGTGGAATTGGGTTTGAGAAAAAAAAAATCACTCAGTTGTGGCCCAAGTCTAGAGTCCACAATTATGCAATATGTTATGAAGGGTTTGATGGAAACCTTCAAGTGTCCGTAGGGAGAATGGTCAGTACATTCAACCATGAATTCAAGGACTAGTATGTGATCGGCCTGCTGATGTAAATTCCTCCTCCTCCTCCCTCCTCCTTCCTCTTCCTCCACTTCCTCCTTCTTTCTTTTTTTTGTTTTTTAATTTAAAAACAAATAAAACGTGCACATGAGCAGTCTAATCCTTTTCTTTGCTGCACAGCTTGGCACTGGGATTGGTGACTCCAATGGGCAGCTGGGCCACTGTTTCCAGGATGGCTTTGCAGTTCTTGGGGGCAACATTGAGGGCAGTCTCAGCACACTGAGATGTGTTGCACCTCAGCAGGACCTCCGGCTTCTTGACGGGGTGGACCAGGAGCTTCTGGAAGCCGCTGGGCAGCATGTACTCTGCTGCTCCCATAACCTGTGCCAGGCATCAAAATTAGGCCCTTGATTCTTCTACCAACCCTGTTGTCAAGAGGAGTTGTTGATGCCTCTGCATTTCTGCCAGTTATGCTAATTTTGGGATATTGGCCTGACTGGTACTGGATGAACTTCTTGTCCTCTTTATGAGGATCTTGGTCATCATGAGGGGTCCTAGTGCAGCCACAGTGCTGAGTAGGAGAGGAAGACAAGGGGAGGCTGTGTGAAGGGCTGAGGGGACGTGGGCTCTGTCAACTTCTTCTTTTGGGAGCATCGAGTGCTCTCTGAAATGCACTCGCCTCTCCCTAAGAGCGGAAGTGGGCTGGGTGTGGGGGCTCACACCTGTAATCCCAGCACTTTGGGAAGCTAAGGCAGGAGGATTGCTTGGGACCAGGAATTTGAGACCAGCCTAGGCAACATAGTGAGACCAGATTCTCTAGAAAAAAATTAAAAATTAGCTGGGTGTGTTGGTGCGTGCCAGTAGTCCCGGCTACTCAGCAGGCTGAGGTGGCAGGATCCTTGAGCCTGGAAGGTTGAGGCTGCAGTGAGCTACCGATTGTGCCACTGCACTCCAGCCTAGGCACAGAGCGAGACCGTGTCTCTACAATTAAAACAAACAAAAAAGAGCAGACCAGCTTCTGGGAACTGAAGGGGGTACCTTTGTCTTCTGAGTGCATGAGCAAGAGAGCGTGAGGAAGAAAATACAGTATCTTGTTTATTTTAGTTTCTAAACAACTTCACCCTCATCCATAAAGACCCACAGTTTCCCCCAGAAACTTCTGTCAGAGCTTGAGAAAATAAAAACAAAGACCAAAAACAAAGCAGGGACTTCCTGGGTAATGAAGCCAGAGGATTATTTCATAACAAGCATACTTTTTTCATGTGACATCTGGAGGGTTAAGTTAGAACAGAGAAGCCAGCCACCTGCCAAGAAGGTCTGAAGAACCCAGAAGCGACATTAGCAAGGGGTTCGTTTCACGGAATCCAAAGGTCTGTTTCGTCAATCATGGCCAGATGGGGTATTAACAGTATCTCGAATTGACGAAATTCATTTTTTTTCTGAGAAGTTCGAAACTTTTTGTTTGAGTAACCTCATTCTTCCCCTCCCCAACATGCGATGAAAGATTCTGTTCCTTGTCTGTTAGATGAAGAGACTGAACTCTGTTGAGATTAGGCTAATTTCATCCCTGGTGGGTGTGGGATGAATTTCTAGTTCTCTCACTTGTCTTTTTCTTTCTCTTTCTCTTTCTTTTTAAAAATTTTACTTTAAAACTGACAAATAATAACTGTACATATTCATGCGTACATAGTGATGTTTCGATACATATGACGTGCAGTGATCAGATCAGCATAATTCGCACATCCATCATCTCAAACATCCATCATTTCTTTGTGTTGGGAATATTCAATATCCTCCTTCTAGCTATTTTGGGTTTTGTTTTTGTTTTTGTTTTTGTTTTGAGATGGAGTCTCGTTCTGTCACCCAGGCTGGAGTGCAACAGTGCAATCTCAGCTCACTGCAACTTCTGCCTCCCGGGTTCAAGCAATTCTCCCGTCTCAGCCTCCCAAGTAGCTGGGATTACAGGTGCCCGCCACCACACCCGGCTAATTTTTTGTATTTTTAGTAGACTCAGGGTTTTACCATGTTGGCCAGGCTGGTCTCAAACCCCTGACCTCAGGTGATCTACCCTCGTCGGCCTCCCAAAGTGCTGGGATTACAAGTGTGAGCCACCGCCCCACCTCCTTCTAGCTATTTGAAACTATGTAATACATTATTAACTGTAGTCATCTTATAGTAGTACAGAACACTAGAACTTATTCTTCCTGTCTAGCTGTAATTTTGTATCCTTTAATAAATCTGTCCCTATCACTCCCTTCCCATCTCCCTTCCCACCCTCAAGTATCCTCCTTCTACTTTCTACTTCTGTGAGACTGACACTTTTTAGCTTCCACATGTGACTGAGAACATGCAGTGTTTAACTTTCTGTTCCTGGCTTATTTCATTTTTTATAATTCCTCCAGTTCCATCCATATTGCTGAGAATTACAGGATTTCATTCTTTTTTATGGCTGAACAGTATTCCATTGTGTATATATACCAAATTTTCTTTATCCATTTATCTGTTGTTGGATACCTAATAACTGTCTTTTTCTGAAAAAGCCAGCTCTCTCCTTTATGACCCATATTTCCCCATGTTAGTAACTTATTTGCCTTTTTTTTTTTTTTTTTTTTGAGACAGCAGGATCTTGCTCTGTTGCCCAGGCTGGAGTGCAGTGGCATGATCTCAATGCAGCCTCTAACTCCCGGGCTCAGGTGATCCTCCCAGTCAGCCTCCCGAGTAGCTGGGATTACAGGCTCGTGCCACCTTGCCTGGCTAATTTTTGTATTTTTTGTAGAGACAGGGTTTCATCATGCTGCCCAGGCCACTCTCAAACTCCTGGGATCAAGGGATTGAACCATCTCAGCCTCCCAAAGTGTTGGGATTACAGGCGTGAGCAACTGTGCCTAGCTTGTCTGCCTTTTTAAGACAAATAATGGAATTCTTCATTTTCTGCCGAGCTCATTTTTGGTGCTCTGTTGCCACTACTATTTATTGAGTACCTACTATGTGCCAGGTACATAAGTACTTGTATCATATTGAGAATAAGACAGACCAAATCCATGCTATTATAATGCTGCTCAAGTTCTGAGGAGGTGAACAGACAAGAAGCAAATAATCAGATGAAAATATGGTGTAATGCTCTGGATGGTGAGTCTCACAGAGAAGAACAATGCAGGTAAGTCAATCATGCCAGGGATGGGGTGGAGAGGATGCTCATTCAGGTGACGAAGTTGAGGAAAGCCATTGGATGGAGCCGGGATACAGTGATGGAACAAACCATGTCTCTGTTTGGGGGAAGAGCGTCGCTGAGGAGGAAAGACTCGATGTCCCAGGAACAGCAAGCAGGCTGGCGTGACTGCATGAGCCAGGGGCCCAGGTCAGAGATGCAGGTGGAAAAAGTAGGTAGGGGCTGCGTCAGTGAAGGACTTGTAGGCCAGGTGAGGAGTTTGGGATTGTATTCTGAGTTGATGGGAAACTATGGGAAGGTTGGGAGCAGAGGAGAAGTGATGGGGTCATTGCATTTGTCAGCCGAAGAGGCGGTGGTGAGGTCTGAGGCCATAGCAGTGGAGACGGTAAGCAGTGACCACTTAGGGAATCTACTTTAAAAGTGGAACCCACAGAACTTGATTGATTGGATGCAGCAGGGTTGAGTGGGAGGAAAAGAGAAGAATCAACGTGACTCAGATTTCTGGCTTGCGTACTCAGTGAAAGATGTTGCCAGTTACTAAGATAAGTTACTAAGATAGGGAGCTGGTTAGGATTATGAGGAGCTGAGAGCTCTGCTCCGGCCGTGGCAATCGGCACCTGCATGGAGATGCTGTAGAGGTGCTGGACCAACAGCTCATCTGAGAGGCTGTGCTCCAAAGTGGAGCAGAGGGTATGGGGCAGCAGCGGGAGGCAGTTGTGGGGACTGCAACTGCGAGGTTTCTTTTCAAATAGACTTTGTTTTTAGAGCAGTTTTAGACGCACAGCAAACTCGAGTGGAAGGGAGAGAGAGTTCCCCTGTGCCTCCTGCCCTCACACCCGCACAGCGCCCCAACTATCAACACCCCTACCAGCGTGGCGCATTTGTTAGAACTGATGAAACTACTTCATTTCAACCGAGCGGTGTACGATCTATTCTTCTGGGAGAAAGGGGGGTGAAATTGCAACAGTTAGCCCTTCCTGAAAATAAATATGTGTGGGGGGTATGTTGGTATATTTCCGAGCACTGTAGCATATTCACCAGTCACCTGCCTGGTGCACTTGGGAGTCATCCACCCCACAGTCCCCTCCACCCCACAGTCCCCTCCACCCCACAGTCTCCTCCACCCCGCAGTCCCCTCCACCCCCCAGTCTCCTCCACCCCACAGTCTCCTCCACCCCGCAGTCCCCTCCACCCCCCAGTCCCCTCCACCCCACAGTCCCCTTTGGGCGTTTTTGCACAAAGTATTCAGCGCACAGCTTAGTTGCATACACTCAGGTGTGAATAGGTGACTACCTGGGATGTTGAAATCCTGGACAGCTGGAATCTGTACACATGGTCTTAAAATGACAATAGCCGTCTAACTGTTTTTGTAGCACCAGGAGCAATGTAAAGACACACCACCTGTGCACCAGGACAGCACAGAGGTGAGCTCACTATTAGTTTCTAAGTATTTCCAACACTTATATCTTTGGAGTTTTCTTTTTAAATGTTTAAATCAAACGTCTTGGCTAACGCTTAATCAGGGTCATGTTATTCATGCACACCTCAACATGATTGTGTTTTGGAATATATACCACAATTCTTCCCTTGTAAATATACCCTGAATATTTAATAAATAGTTGCTCGATGAATTAATTGATTAATTATAATCAAAGTCTGGACACTAGAAGAATAAAGAAGAAAAAAAAGAAATCTGGCTGGGTTCAGTGGCTCACGCCTGTAATCCCAGCACTTTGGGAGGCTGTGGCAGGCAGATCACCTGAGGTCAGGAGTTCGAGACCAGCCTGGCCAACATAATGAAGCCCTGTCTCTATGAAAAATCCAAAATATTAGTTGGGTGTGGTGGTATGCATCTGTAATTCCAGCTACTAGGGAGGCTGAGGCAGGAGAATCACTTGAACCCGGGAGGTGGAGTTTGCAGTGAGCCGAAATTGTGCCAGTGCACTCCAGCCTGGGCAACAGTGCAAGACTCTATCTCAAACAATAACAACAACAACAAAGAGATCTGTGCTTGGAGCTTCCAAGGGACAGCAAGAGATAACATGGTGGAAGGTTGTGGGGGATAGAGGTGGTGCTTGTTAGGATAGGGAGCAGGTCTGAGAGGGGAAATTGGAAGACACCAAGGGCAAGCTTTTCACACTACCCAAACGTTCCAAACCACCACATAAAATGTTTTTTCTCTGCTTTGCTGTTACTTTTCCTCTTCTTTTTATCTCTACTTTTTCTCTTTCTCTCCTGCTGTTTTCCATTTTGAACATTTCTTCTTTTTTAACTTCTATCCCACTCATTATACCAAGATCAAACAATAACTTATACTAATAATTTAGACCTTCTTTTCTTTGGACTTTTAAAATTTTTGTTTTTGAGTGAAATACATGTTTATTGTACAAAAATTTATATGATCCAAAAGGGGAAAACGATAAAAAGTACATTCCCCTCTACTCCCTGTCCCAAGCTACCCACTTACCCTCCCCCGAGACGAACCAGTTTTTTGGTGTGCATTTGTCCAGAGAGTTTTCTAAGTGTGTAGGAGCATGTTGCATACATAGTCATCAGTGCTGTCTAGACACTCAGAAGGCAGACAAGGAGATGGATTTGGGATTGCAGGATACTGATTGGGATCAACCTCTGTGAAAAGACGGGGAAGGAAGAAACAGGACTGGGCAGCGGGAGAAGCCAAACTGCCACACAACCTTTGCCAGCCATGGGAGCTGCAGAGCACCTGGCGGGTCAGTCATCCTGGGGTGCGCCGGCATGGCCGACCCTGTCTGCTCCCACCACTATCTGTCATTTTGGATCCTGTGAAGAAGGGTATCCAAGTGGGTGAGGTAGTTCTCTACAGCTGAGGCCAACCAGAATACAACTCTGGCTAAAGTCTATCTGCTGTTAGCTCCCAGCAGCTGGCTATGTCCTTCGTTGGGGGCCTGGTTGGGCACCTCTGTGTTCCCTTTCATCCATCTCAGCACTGCTCGGATAGACTTCTCCATGGACACCAAGAAACAGGCCCTCCAGCTTGCTGCTGACCTCTCTTCTGGGGAAAGTGAGGAGAGGGAGGTTAAAAGGAAGACCTGCAACTCCTGCTGCCGCCGCTGTCCCTGAGCCACAGCAGATGCTCATCCTCACCTGCACCCTGTGTCCCGGAGAGCCGCAGGCCCAGCCACCATCTTTGCTGGTCTTGGGGGCTTACCTGGTGGGGTGGTCAGCCCTCATCCCTGGGGGGTCTGTGTCCCTGGTCATCATGTCCTTCTTAGGCCAGAAAGGATACACTAGTCCAGTTGGCATCACAAATGGCACAAGGAGTGACTTGAGGAGCTGAGGTGCACCTGATCTGCTGATCAGGGTCATACAAAAAGCCGGAGGTGCCTAGGTTGCAGGTGCAACTCATAATCCACTGAGACTTTTGTGTCCCTTGGCAAAAGTGTGATTCCTTGGGGATCAGGACCTCCAGCCCTGCAGAGCCCAGAGTTGCAGGACTAGGAAACACAAGGTCCACTGCTGGGTCTTCGGGAGCAATGATAAGGCCACTTATGCCGTTTGGTTTCCAGACCCATGTGTTCTTCCTACTGGGGGGGGTCAGACCGTATAAAGCTTTTTTTTTTTTTCTTTTGAGATGGAGTCTCAGTCTGTCACCCAGGTTAGAGTACAATGGCACGATCTTGGCTCACTGCATGCCTGGCTAATTTTTTGTATTTTTAGAGGAGACAGGGTTTCACCACATTGGCCAGGCTGGTCTCCAACTCCTGACCTCAAGTGATCTGCCCGCCTCAGCCTCCCAAAGTGGTGGGATTATAGGCCTGAGCCACCAGGGCCGGCAGCGTAAAGGCTTTTGATTCAAAGTGTATACTGCATTCTGGAGAATGGTGCACCACCATCACACACTGTCACCTCTGAGTTGACATTTTAGTGCCCCTTTAGCCAACTATTTCAATGCTTGGGCCGGCAGCTTCTGCGTGGTGCAGGCTGTGGTGTGATCAGCCTAGGGAAGTGGGAGTCCATGCTGCAGGGCTCCAGGACAGCCTCTGTGTCTCTTATCCTGCCACTTCTTTCATGGCTCTACCATGCCAGCACTTGGGTGACCAATGAATGACAGGGCTGGCTGGTGTCACCAGGGCTGGCTTTGTCGTTCTGTCTGCTTGATTGGTTAGTGCATCTTCTGTGATGGATGCTTCCTGGGAGCAAAGTCATGAGATACAAAGACCTTCATGCTTCACACTCACTCTGTTTTTGTTTTTTTTGTTTTGGTTTTTGTTTTTTTTCAGTAGTGCAATGGCATGATCTCGGCTCACCTGCAGCCTCTGCCTCCCAGGTTTAAGCAATTCTCCTGCCTCAGCCTCGAAGTAGCAGGGATTACAGGGGCCCACCACCACACCCAGCTAATTTTTGCATTTTTAGTTGAGATGGGGTTTCACCATGTTGCCCAGGCTGGTCTTGAACTCCTGACCTCAGATGATCCACCCACCTTGACCTCCCAAAGTGCCGGGATTACAGACGTGAGCTACCACACCCAGTCTTTCCCAAATCTCTGACCAGAGAGCCAAGTCTTCTATACCACTCACAAGTAGGTGTCTATTGGAATCTTAAACCACGTCTCCTTCCCACACAGAGTGGATGGCTGGGTGTACCCCTCAATGCTCTGCCCATTGAAGGGATTTTCTCTCACTGTCATTTTTCAAGGCCACTCCTCAGTGAAGCTGGGATGCATCTGCTGTCTATTTTTGGCTTGCATTTTTATAATGAACTTGCTTATGTAAAACAAGCTCAGGCCTTTCCCTCCCCTGTGAGCTGGGGAGTCATCCCCGTAGAAAATCATGATCCTTTGTCCAGTATTCAGTTCTAAGGCGATGATCGGTCCCAGCATCCATTGACCACCCTCCCCACCAGGAGGAAGGAATCTGCAACACCATTGCAAGGATCCAGTGTAATAATTCCCCATCGGCAGGGCACAGTGGCTCATGTCTGTCTGTAATCCCAGCACTTTGGGAGGCTGTGAGTGAATTACTTGAGGTCAGGTGTTCGAGACCAGCCTGGCCAACATGGTGAAAATCCATCTCTACTAAAAATACAAAAATTAGCCAGGTGTGGTAGTGGGCACCTGTAATCCCAGCTACTTGGGAGGCTGAGGCAGGAGAATCACTTGAACCCAGAAGGCAGAGGTTGCAGTGAGCCGAGATCGTACCACTGCACTCCAGCCTGGGTGATAGAATGAGACTCCATCCCAATAATAATAATAATAATAATAACTCCCCAGTCATTCACCAAATGGGCCTGTGATCCTTTACTTGGGCAAACATCCTACGGAAAGGAAAATAACCAACCATGTGAAGAATTAGTGTTGACATTGTTATCTTGAGATCTGAGGTTAGACTGTGGGTGTAGAGAGCAGAAAATAATGAATTCCTTGCCAAGGTCCAGTTTACGTGAACCCACCTCATGGTCCATTTTCCCAGTCTCTGAATATGCAATTGGGATTGACATTCTAGAGAACTGGCACACTCCCCAAGGCGGTTCCTTGGTCTGTAGAGTGAAGGCATCATAGTGAGAAAAGCCAAAAGAGAGATGCTGAAGCTTCCTCTTCTAAAATCAAGATAGAAAATTAAAGACAATGTCACAAGCCGGGTGTGGTGGCTCACGCCTGTAATCCTAGCACTTTGGGAGACCGAGGTGGGTGGATCACCTTAGGTCAGGAGTTTGAGACCAGCCTGGTCAACGTGGTGAAACCCCGTGTCCACTAAAAATACAAAATTAGCTGGGTGTGGTAGCGGGTGCCTGTAATCCCAGCTACTCTGGAGGCTGAGGCAGGAGAATTGCTTGCACCTGGGAGACGGAGGTTGCAGTGAACCGAGATTGTGCCACTGCGCTCCAGCCTGGGCAACACAGTGAGACTCCATCTCAACACAAACAAACAAAAAAACAAAGACAATATCACAGCCCAGGGGCTGGCAAGGATGGCAAAGATGAGTGCCATGCTTAAGGATCTGAAGCAGGACTTGCTTAAAATTTTAGACCTCGTGGGTCATGCAGACTCCATTGCAACCGTTTGCCTTTGCCATAGCAGCACTCAAGCAACTAGAGACAATCTGTGAATGAATGAACATTTTTCAGTTTGAATAAAACTTTACTTATGGACACCAACATTTGAGTTTCATACAGTTTTCACATATCACAAAATATTATTATTCTTTTGATTTTTTACCAACTATGTGAAAATGTGAAAGCCGTTTGTAGAGCAAAGGTGGTATAAAAACAGGAAGTGGGCCAGATTTGGCCCGTGGGTCATAGATGGTGGACTACTAATCTGAAGGATGCAGGGGTGGTGGTCCCCATCATATTTCCATTAAATTCACCAGTCTGACCTTGGAAGACACCAGAGAGATCCTGAAAACAACAGCAGACTACCACAAAATCAGTGAAATAGAAGCCATAGTCATAGCCACCAGAGCAGATTAACACAGCCTCAGGTAGCTTGTGTGCAGCATTACGATTTGGCCAAGTTTATTTATTTATTTATTTATTTATTTATGAGACAGAGTTTTGCTCTCGTTGCCTGGGCTGGAGTGCAATGGTGTGATCTCGGCTCACCACAACCTGTCTCCCAGGTTCAAGTGATTCTCCTGCCTCAACCTCTCAAGTAGCTGGGATTAAGGCATGCACCACCATGCCCCACTAATTTTTTATTTTTAGTAGAGATGGGGTTTCACCACATTGGTCAGGCTGGTCTTGAACTCCTGACGTCAGGTGATCCACCCGCCTTGGCCTCCCAAAGTTCTGGGATTACAGGCATGAGCCACCATGCCCGGCTATTTATTTTTTAACCATAAAAGAGAATCAGAAATAGCTGCAAGGGGGAACAATATACATTCACAGTTTTATCCTAGGCCTACGTTAATTCTCCTGCCCTCTGTAATAATGGGGAAGAGAACTGGATGGTCCAGCTCTTCTGCTGAACATCACGGGGATATTTTGCCAACCAGGCCAGATGAGCACGAAGTAGCTAACGTGTTGGAAGTCCCCATAAGGCACATGAGCTGCAGAGAGTGGGAGGGACTCTTAATAATATGCTGGAGGCTGCCACATCCGTAAAAATGTTGGAATCCACTGCTCAGGGGTGTGCTGGGACACACGTACCGAGTGACACACCCAGTTGTCTCTGACACCCTTTTTTTTTTTTTGAGACAGAGTCTTGCTCTGTTGCCCAGGCTGGAATGCAGAGGTGTGATCTTGCCTCACTGCAGCCTCCGCCTCCCAGCTTCAAGTGATTCTCCTGCCTTAATCTCCCGAGTAGCAGGGACTACAGCTACCTTTTGTAGAACGTCAATGGAACCTAGCAACAGCCGTCGAATTCCATGGTCCTTAGAGATACCATTTTCCCGCACTTCTCAAACACCTAACATCACACACCAGCTAGTGCCCTCCCTTGCCCAGGTATCCCATCCCAGTGCACCTGGAAAGTTTGCTAAAATTATGACTGTCCATGTCCATTGAGGTTTGCTATCTTTTCTTGGTCTCTCCATCTGGGCCTCTTATGTTTTTGGCAGGGTCTGTTATCTGATGTCCTACTTTCACAGCAACTTCTGCTCTAATTTGCTGAGCACAATCAGCCCAGGTCTCACCTCCTTTTCCCACCATATTGTCCCTTAGATCTCTGCTTTAAGCTCTTAGTTTATAGAGGTTACTGCTCTATTATATTAACAAAATCCATGACTGTATACTCAGCCCAGGTGTTTGCCTGTTCCATCACAATCTCTTTCTGGGGCTATTTTACTTTCCCCCCCTTTTTTTTTTTTGGTTTAACATTGAGTTGATCTGTGTTGGGTACCTTTTTTCATTTTTGTGGAAATTTCTGAGTCAGTTCCTTCCTAAGCAAGCCATTTATAGGGGTGTGGGTAGGGAATATCCTGAGGTCCTGGTCCAGAGTAGCAGAAATTCTTAGACACAGGGAGGATGTGTGTAGAATCTGTTCTTTTAGCCTTTATTTCACTCCATCAGCAGCTGCAAAAATGCTTACAGTTTCTTTCTTTTACTTACCTCAGTCACAGTCTGCTTCCCGCAAAAGTGTGATTCCTCATCCCCCAGATCACTGCCTCTTCTACTTCTCCTGCATTGCAAAAGCAGCCAGGAGCACATCCCATTTCTATTGGTCCAAGCAAGGGAATGTTGGCTTTGCTCATCTATGTAAGCCTCTTACTGTGCAGGGCTGTGCTATTCTGGTACCTGAGGTGCTCAGCGCAGGGAGCGTTATCCTGTCCTGTTTTTCTTTGCCTGCATATGGCAGCCATTTCCTGTAGTCTAGAGTCAGACGCGTATTCTGGTTAAAGACCAAGTCTACACTTCTGTTTCTTATCCATCTGTGGCTTCAGGTGATATCTAAGATGACAAAGACCAGGGCCAACTCAACTTCTCCCTTTTAAAACTCAAGCGCTTGCTCAGCCTGGGTTGTAACAGTCAAAGCCAAATAGAATTCTTCATCAATAAACTATGATACAGATCTAGGATGAGTTTCTAATAAACTAGACTCAGAAATTCCAAGATGGAATTCAAACATTTTAAGGAATCATCCCAAATTCCCAAGTCTTACCCGAATGTTGTTAGAAATAAAAATGCTATCTTAGACTTGCAAATCTGTTTCCCTGTACAGAGATGGTGTGTCACAGTGAGCTGGAGCTCTGCCCATGTTTTCCTGGGGGAGCAAGGCGTGGAATTTCAGAGTACGGCTTTGGAAGCTGGGAACTCTGGGTCCAGGTATTTATGACCTTGGAGAAATAACTTCAAGCTGCCAAATGGAGATGATCACAGCTACCATGTAAAGCCTATAGGAGGATTACATTGGCTAAAATATGTAAATCACTCTTCCCAGAGCCTGGTGCATAGGAAGTGCTTGTTAAACGACATTATTGTCAGAGTGGGAAGAATGGCAGACTTCCAATGGGATTGGGGGGACTAAACAGTACAGTGCCAGAGATACGCCTCGTGGGAGCATCGCTGTCCTGCTCATTATTTAAATCATATTCCCCTTATGAGGCAGCTTAAGATACTGAAAAGCACACTAACCTCAGTCAGGCAACCCTGGGTCCTCATCAGAGTTCAGTCACTCACTGGTTGTCCGACTTCAGCAAATCCCCTAACCTCTCTGAGGATCAGTTTCCTGTTCTGAAAAATGTGCATAACAACACCGGTCTTGTTGAGTCACTGGGAATGCGTGAGATAATTTACACTAAAACCCCTGGCACACGGTTGGCAGTAGTTCTCCCCGACTCTCCTAGGAATGTTTTTCCTCTGTGCTGAGCTGTTGTCACTGCTCTTTGCAACACTTTTGCTCCACGGAGGGGGAGGATGTAACTTGAAAGGGTTACTAATCCCTCGAAACCCTCAGATCACAGATAAACTCATTTCCCGATCATGCCACGTAAGCCAATGATCTGGCTTTGATAACCTGATCACACGTTGGGGACCACATTAAGGTTGCCACTCAAAGCTGTACTCCTGTTCAAAGCGTTGGAGCAAGGTTTGCTGTTCTGCCCCTGTTCTCTGGGGATAGCACTAAAGGGCACAACGGAAAGGATAACAGTGCCCCAAGGAGGCATCACTCACAGATGAAGCTCTTGGCCTCACTGGCTGAAGAGTGGGAACCTCCCAGCTGGGAAAGGATAAAAACAGTTTATCATTTTATTGACCATTTTAGGTTGTGTGCATATGTAAGCTTGGCACTTAAAAAATATCCACACGAGCCCAGGTGCAGGCTTATGCCTGTAACCTCAGCACTTTGGGAGGCTGACGTGGGTGGATGACTTGGGCTCAGGAGTTCAAGAACAGCCTAGGCAATACGGCAAAACCCCGTCTCTACAAAAAATACAAAAAAACTAGCTGGGGATGGTGGCACATGCCTGTAGTCCCAACTACTTGGGAAGCTGAGATGGGAGGATTGCTTGAGCCTGGGATTTCGGGGCTGCAGTGAGCAGTGATTATGCCACTGCACTCCAGCCTGGGTGACAGAGTGAGACCCTGTCTCAAAACTATATCAAAATAAAAAATATGCATATGAAAGCCATAAATTGCACACAAAAGTTATGTTTTTAAAAAAGTAAATTTCTTATTGAAAAGATTAGTTTTCAACTAATCAATGCAATTTAAAAATGTATGAAAATATTTTCAAACAAGCAGAACAGACACCAATTAGGTGGAAGATGAATTAAAACTTTAAAAATTTCAGAAAATTCTATGTACTTTAAAAATTGATGATCTCCTTCATTATATTTTTATTTTTATTTTTCTCTTTTTTGAGACAGTCTCACTCTGTAGCCCAGGCTGGAGTACAGTGGTGAGATCTCAGCTTACTGCAACCTCTGCCTCCCAGGTCTGAGCGAATCTCCTTCCTCAGCCTCCTGAGTAGCTGGGATTATAAGCGCCCACCACCATGCCCGGCTAATTTTTGTATTTTTAGTAGAGACGGAGTTTCACCATGTTGGCCAGGCCGGTGTGGAACTCCTGGCCTCAAGTGATCCACCCACCTTGGCCTCCCAAAGTGCTGGGATTATAAACGTGAGCCACCGCGCCCAGCCTTCTTTCATTATTTTTATTACAAAAGCAATGCAAGCATATTACTCAGAGATAAAAAAGGCAAACAAGCAAAAAAATTTAAATAAAGAATCCTGATAATCCCTATCTGGAGCCAGCCATATTGGCAAATACCTTATAGATACTTTGTATATATTTATAAATTTTTAAAACAAAAATGGGATCCTTCCATGTAAATTATTTGTCTCTCAACATAATTGAATTTCCCTAAGTTGTTATTGTTCGCTAGTTTGTTCCTATATTTTTACTATTAGAAACCTTACAGAGCAGGAATAACTGTAGAGAATGATTTAGAAAGACAAAAAAAGTGAAAAAACTTTAAAAAATCTGTGAGATGGGCCGGGCATGGTGGCTCACACCTGTAATCCCAGCACTTTGGGAGGCCAAGGCGGGTGGATCACTTGAGGTCAGGAGTTTGAGACCAGCCTGGCCAACATGGTGAAATATCATCTCTACCAAAACTACAAAAATTAGCAGGGCGTGGTGGCAGGCGTCTGTAATCCCACCTACTCAGGAGGTTGAGGCAGGAGAATTGCTCGAACCCAGGAGGTGGAGGTTGCAGTGAGCCCAGATCATACCATCGCACTCCAGCCTGGGCAACAAGAGAGAGACTCCATCGAAAGAAAAAGAAAGAAAGAAAGAAAGAAAGAAAGAAAGAAAGAAAGAAAGAAAGAAGGAAAGAAGGAAAGAAGGAAAGAAGGAAAGAAGGAAAGAAGGAAAGAAGGAAAGAAGGAAGGAAGGAAGGAAGGAAGGAAGGAAAGATTTCTGAAATGGCCGAAGCTGCTTAGAGATATACATGCCTGTAATCCCAGCACTTTGGGAGGCCGAGGTGGGCGGATCACCGGAGGTCAGGAGTTCGAGACCAGCCTGGCCAACATGGTGAAACCCCGTCTCTACTAAAAATACAAAAAGTAGCCGGGCATGGTGGCGGGCACCTGTAATCCCAGCTACTTAGGAAGCTGAGGCAGGAGAATCGCTTGAACCCGGGAGGCGGAGGTTGCAGTGAGCTGAGATTACTCCATTGCACTCCAGCCTGGGTGACAAGAGCAAGACTCCGTCTCAAAAAAAAAAAAAAAAAAAAAGATACAAAAAAGGAGACAAAAATCATTCTCCACGGTGCACCGAAAGCATCCCTACACACAGAATCCTTGGGAATACTTGTTTTTGATCAAATTATAATCTGATCAAATTGTCTTAACTAGCTTGTCTTCCCTCCAGGGCCCACACCCCTTTCTTTTCCTGTTTCGGGGTCCCCCGGTTCCATCCATGCTGCATACTGTAGCATTTCACCCAGCCTTTCCTGCCAGCCCAAACACCGCCCTTATCTTCTTTCTTCCTGGAACATCTGCCCTGCTAATTCCCAGTTTCCGATGAATTCTACCATCTGCTGCCTGCCAGCCTCCTGCCAGGCGCTGAGCACAGCTGGAGCAGATCACACGACTTGTTTACGCAGGAGTCACTACCGATGTTTGCTCTGCAGCCCCGAGGGGGCGCTCCAGCGCGTCTGTCTTGTCCCTCTTCTAAAGCTCCACCGTTTTGTGTGCGCTTTCTGATAGTTGCATGGCCTGGGTTCTGTTCCCCCATTGGGTTAAGCTTTGGATTCTCGGTGCATAAAATAAAGATGATATTTGTTACTATTGACAGGAAATGGAGGCAAGCATGAGACTGCTCACGTACTAGGAAATGAAGTAAGGCAGTTTTCCTCCTGGAAGTTAAACTAGAAAATTCCTAAACAATGGATGTGATTGCATCTATGGTCTGTAAACCAAAAAGTTACTTGTGTATGTATGATGGAATGATTTGGGAACAAAGGCACAAATTTTCAACCAAAAAGGGAGGAAGGAGTGGTCTCAGACTGCAGAGTGGAGACGCCAAGCAGATTAGGGAGTACAGGTAGACAGCAGGTTCAACCTGGAGGAAGTCCTGCAGCTCTGGACCTCCTAATCAGGGCTTTTGCACCCCCACCGGTGCTTTGATCACGGGGTGGGGAGAGACCCAGTCTAGACACCTTCTATCTTTGCCCTTCTTCCTTTTTCTGTTTACACGCTATTACTTTCTGCTTCTTTTATTGACCAAGTACGTCCTTCTGCTTCTCACATTTTTATTTTATTTCCAGTTTCTTGCACAAGTGCTTAATTCATTTAGCTTTTTCCAAGTTTTTAATTGATACAAAAACTTAAAACCATGAATTTTCCTCTTAGTACTCTCTGAGCTAAATCCCATGAGTATGTCATTTTCATACTTTTCTAGATATTATGTTATTTTGATTTTGTTTTCCTTTTTAGTCCAAGTGTTATTTAAGCATTTAAAAATTTTCAAGGGGTAGGCATGTTTTATTTTCTGTTTTTTCATTAATTTCTACTTTTATTGAATTGCTGCAGATAATATTACCGATATGATTCTACTTATTGGACTATGTTAAGATTTTTCTCTGTGGTTTAAAATATGACTAATTGTTGTGAATATTCCTTAGACACTGGAAAAGATGTAATGTCTATTTAGGGGACAGTGTTTGATATATTAGATCTATCATAGGAATTGTATTTTTAGGTCTTCTCAATCCCCATTTACTTTTTGTACTCTTCGTCTGGCAAGGAGTGTGCCAATTATTTCTGTCTATTCACTCACTCCTACAGTGTTTGCTATGAATAATGAGATTATGTGATTTGGTGCAAAGATTTTCCTATTTTTCCTATTTTTTTCTTGATTGTGAATTGTGCTCCTCAAGATTATAAAATGTCCTTCTTAATCTTACTTAATGCTTTTTGCCCTGAAATCAACTTTGTAGTAAGCGGTTTGTGATTCCTGATTTTTTTAATTTTTTTGCATATTCCTGGTATATCTTTTCCAATCTTGTATTTTCAAACTCAGAATAACGTTAGCACTTTCTTGTATACAACACTGAGTTGCATGATGGTTTGTGCTCCTATCTGAGATTGTAGTTTTTTAGTAGGTAAGCTTAGGTCTATATTTCTTCTTGTGAGACATTTGGTCTTGTTCTGTCATATAGTTTGGTTACGCTTTCTGTTTTGTAACTTTTTAAAATATTTCCCTATATATATATTTTTTTTGCTGTGGTTTTGTGTGTGTGTGTGTGTGTGTGCATGCATGTATGTGTGGGTGCATGTATGTGTGGATTATTTGAAAGCTTTGTAGTTTTGTTCTGGGTTACCCTCAGAATCATACCATCCCATGACGTCCTTAATCCTCTATTTCTTTAGATTGTCTTTTGTCTCTCCACTGTATTTCTTTTTTCCCCCTTTTCCCGTTTTCTTAATGACTGGATTTTAATGGATTATAGTAACTTTCTTGGTATACTCCTTCGGACTAAGACGTCTGCTTAAATCTCTACTATTTGATTTATCGGCTTGAACTCTATTTGACACCCAATTAATTACAGATGTAAAAATCATATTTACCCGAAGTCCCACTTTCCCTTTCCCTCCCTGCTTCTGTCAGCGACGTCGTTTTTAAAGACCGAGGCTTTATAGCATTGACATTCTTTTCTGTACCCCTAATCGCGGCATCTGTTTCCATAATCTTACGCTTAACCTCGTGCTCCTTGCCATCCTTTTGCAGCATCTGGCCTATGCAGACTTATTTTCAACTTTTTGCTTATATAGGAGTGGCTTTGAATGAATGAGATCGAGGGGCCTGGAGGGACTTCCCCCACCTCCCCTATCAGAAAGCCCGGCCTCGGACCACTTCTCCTCCTCACCATCTGGGGGCGCTGCCGCGCTCCCCAAGCCTTGTGGAATTTCGAAAATGTGCGCCAGGGCGACACCTCTTGATGGTAAGAAGACGCCGGCGGAGGGGAGCGTGCAGTGCGGTCCTCCCGCGGGCAGGGGGCAGTGCGGCAAGGCGCCCTCGGCGCAGGCGCAGAGGCCGAAGCAGGCGCAGGCGCAGGCGGGGCGCAGGCGCGGGCGCGCTCTCCCGGCAGCCCGCGCTCCCTGACCCCGCGCCGCCGAGCGCCCTGAGGACTCAGCGAAGGGTGGGCGCCGCCGAGGCCTCCTGCCGCTGGCGGGTTTCCGCGGAGTGCCGCCCGGCTCCGCTCTGCCGCCGGCGCGGCTCATGGGCAGAGTCGGCCGGGCGGGCCGGGTAAGTGGCGCCCCGGCGGCCCCGGGTGGGTGGCCTGGCGGGACCTGAGGCGGGCGCGCCTTCCCGGGAGGCGCTAGACGCAAGCCCGCGGCTTTAGGCCCGTCGCGAGGGGCGGAGGCCGGGCCAGCGCAGCCGGAGCCTCCGAGGGTCTCAGTCCCCGCGGCGGGCGCTGGTCTCTCCACGCGGCTGCGGCCCGGTACCCTCCGCCCGCCGCCGCCTCTGGTGACCCTGGCCCTGACCTTCTCCCTCTTCCCTTCCTCCTCCTCCTCCTCATGTCTGCCTCGGGCTGTTTGGTGCTGAAGAGCGTTTCTTCTCCGTCTCGTGCACCGCATCCTGACGAAATTGTCTGGTCACCAGAACCGAGTAGCCCGTAGCGTGTCCCCCCTGGCCCTGCACGGTTGCCCCTCTCTGGGGCTCGGAGCCGGTTCCTCCCGGGGTCTCAGAACTGGGAGTGCAGACGTTGGCGTTTCTCAGACTCCGGAGCTGCCCGGGACAGGAATGCAGCCCTAACCCCGGCGTCGCCTCGGCTCGTGCAGTTTGAGCGGTGTTTCAGCGCTCACGTCCGACCCCAGGCAGTCTTTGAGCTTCGCCTCTTGCCCCGAGAATGTGTAATGATCGGAGAATGCAGGTGGAATGAGGTTCTGCCCCTGCTTGCAGGAGTTTGGTTTCTGGGAAAGCAGGCGTGAAAACCCAGGCCCGGGTTGATTTGAGAAACGCAAGTGGGGTCTGGAAGGACCTCTCTTGAGAGAGGAGGTCATGCTTATGTTGAGTCTTGAAGGTACGTTGTTAGATGTGAGAGGTGGGAAAAAGGCTGCCGGCGGAGGAAGTAAGTGCGAAAGTAGCAGAAGCGAAGCCCCGTAGTGCGTTCTGGAAGCTGCAGGTTAGGCAGAAAGAAAGGTTTGAGGAGGGGCTGCTGTGTTTCCAGGAGTAGTCAGGTCAGAACATGGAGGTTTCTTGAGAAGCAGTAAAGAAGCGCCATTGAGGGTCCTTATTTTGCTAGAGCCAGGCATATGGATGGGAAATAGGATATTCTAGATAAGGGCAAGATTCGCATATACTCAAATAGATGGGTAGATGTGCACTGGCTCCCCGCAGCAGATGGAGTTTTTAAAAGGATGCAACACAAGTTTCCACATTTTTAGTTGTAAAGGCTGCAGACATTTTGATCGTAATGACAGCTTTTAGGGAATATGGGGTAACAGTTTAGTGAGCTAAACGAGAGGGCTTTATTTTTAGAGTTAGTTAAGCAAGGTGCTGCGTGCTGTCCAGTTTATAACAGAGCAGGTTGTGCGGTTGTGGAGCTCTGCGGAACCAAAGGCAGCCTTTCTGGAGGCTCTTGAGAGAATTGTTGTACACTTCCAAATGCAGCTTTATT
Source organism: Homo sapiens (assembly GCF_000001405.40). Classification (NCBI taxonomy): domain Eukaryota; kingdom Metazoa; phylum Chordata; class Mammalia; order Primates; family Hominidae; genus Homo; species Homo sapiens. The sequence continues at coordinate 6,090,569 of NC_000010.11, forward strand.
TAAAGTGGATTTCTTTTTACCTGGTTTGTTTTAACTTACCTTCCCATTCTCCCCTGCCTATGAATTTTTCAGACCTCCTCCCAGCAGGGAACAGATGATCCCAGGCTAGTCATCTCTCAAACCTTTCATAATAGTCAATAGTGAAGGAAGTTCTGTTATTCGCCTAAATTACAGGTGACTGTAGTGGACTGTGTTTGCAATACTAGCCTATGGCATTTTGGTAACAGCCAGAGGGTGGGATTGAATGGAAAGATTAAACTGACAAGGGCGTCAGATGGAGGTATGGGAAAAATTTTTTTTTAATTCTTTAGAAAGTCATGGTAGATCTTATACTTGAGGTAGATGCTTTTTAAGCTGTATTTTTTGCGGACACCAAAGTGCACCACCCCTCCTGTTCCTTTCTGGGTATATTTGCCATATATATGTATATAAATATATAAATATTTATATATTTATATATATTTATATATTTTTATATATATATTTATATACATATATTTTTTTCTCCTGAGACAGAGTCTCACTCTATAGTCCAGGCTGGAGTGCAGCGGTGTAAGTCGGCTCACTGCAACCTCCACTTCCCAGGTTCAAATGGTTCTCTGGCCTCAACCTCCTGAGTAGCTGGAATTACAGGCGCTCGCAACCATGCTCGGCCAATTTTTGTATTTTCAGTAGGGACGGGGTTTCACCATGTTGGCCAGGCTGGTCTCGAACTCCTGATCTCAAGTGATCCTCCTGCCTCGGCCTCCCAAAGTGCTGGGATTACAGGCGTGAGCCACTGGGCCCGGTCTTGCCATATTCTTTAGGCTTCAAAGAGGCATGCTTTGTTTTATGATGCATGAATATCTGTTTAGTGATAGAAATATTTCTTGCTAACAAGCCTGCCTCTTTAGGTGCTCAGAACTCAGACCTTGACTCGTTATTGGTTGTGTGGTGGTGGTAGTTTTTTTCTCCTTAATTATGGTTTGCAATTTAAATTTTATCCTACTTATCATAAGTTATGTGCTTAAAAAGCAGATCTGCAGATCTCACTGTTTCATAATAATGTGATTTAAATAGGTGCACTAACATTTTTCATCCATTCACTAACACATTTAAAAAATATTAATAGAGCCACTTAACAATGTTCAAGCATGGTGCTGAGCTAGAGATACAAAGCTGAACATAAGAAACACCCCTGCCTTTAGGGGGCTTACACTGCAGGAAGAAACCGCTGTGTGAAACAATAGGCAGCATAACTTGCCAAGGTTGCTGTGATCTGAGTATGCTTGAGGAAACCAGTTGGGGGGGGTTAGTTTTATGTGGGGGCAATAGTCACTAAAGGCTTCTGAGATGCACTTGAAAGATAAGTAGGTGGGGTGCTTCTGAGAAGACTCTTCCATGTTCTTTTTCCTGCCAGTTGCACATGTTTTAAAAAAATACTTTCCAGCTTGGGTGGAATCTTGAAAACTCACCATTCTTCCTTCTGGCAGAACCATGTTTGTTATGTTTCCTAAGAAAAAATGTAGCATATATGAAACGTGGGTTGCTCAAAGGGAAGTGTTGCCACAAAAAGGAAGGAAATAGCAAATATTTTAAAGTTATAAAAACCAGCAATTTGTATTTACTTTTGATCCTGGCTTCTTATGGTATATCCAGTTGTTACAAAGTACAGCTTTTTGTTACCTGGCAGCAGACCTAATGAAATAAATGTGTTATGTTGTCTAAGTAATAATGTCAACGTTAATTAGGGTAAGTTTGGGTCTTGGCAGTCTTATTAATGTACTTATTACATTTCAGTAGTTGCGGTGGGGAGAATTAATGAACAAACTATTGTATATTAAATGCTTAATATAGCGAAAATAAAGAATACACACTTTTTAAGGAATAGATTAACTAAAACTGTAAATAAAATTAACATAAAAGGAGGAAAGCAAGGAAATAATGAGAAGAGGATTCCGGGGAAATTACATGAATGGGTTGGGGGAGTAGTATGGTTGAGTGTGGTTTCTTAGTCTAGATCCTGTCTTGTTTTGGGTGGTGAATTCACAGGTGCTTGCAGCATTATAATAATTAAACAAAAGCAGGTAATAAGTGTGTGAATGGATGAGAGTGTGATGTTACTATGATTAATCCCATTCTGTGAACTTAAAATTCAGTGAAAATGAGAAAAACGAAGAAAGCACTTTTGCATTTGCTGTGATGCAGAGATTTGATTTTATAAGCTCAATGTTACAGAAAACTAGCAGGTGCTGGTAAGATGACATCAGTTTCTAATATTTAAAGCGTTTTGCAGGTTTGAGAAGAGAAATGAGGACCTTTAAATGAGCATGAGATTTGCTGCCTGATGATTTCTGAAACTTTTGCGCAATGCAGCAAATCAACTGGAATTGTCAGTCAGCCATCTTAAATGACATGGAATCAGAGGAGATGTGTGGTCTCATAAAATCTCATTAATTCACTATTTAATTTTTGCTAAATATTGAATCTATTGATGGAAGAACTGTTGGCAGCTGAGATCTAGTACACTGCTAGATTTTTAGCCTCAAAGTTTAGAGAACTCTTTTCATCAGAGTTGACTCTTCTGGGGAGGGTGAGGAGTGTTGCCTCCCTCTCTGGGGGTTACTTCCTTCCCTTATTCCCCAGTGCTGCCTCTTTGCCTATTTATTTTTTATTTTATTTTTTTGAGACAGTCTCGCTCTATCATCCAGGCTGGAGTGCAGTGGTGCAATCTTGGCTCACTGCGACCTCCGCCTCCCGGGTTCAAGCAATTCTCCTATCTCACCCTCTTGTCTCAGCTGGGACAGGACTACAGGCGTGCAGCACCACACCTGGCTAGTTTTATATTTTTAATAGAGATGGGTTTTCACCACGTAGGCCAGGCTGGTCTCAAACTCCTGACCTCAAGTGATCCGCCCGCCTCGGTCTCCCAAAGTGCTGGGATTACAGGCATGAGCCACCGCAGCCGGCCCATTATTAGTATTTTAATAAAGCTTATTAAATGCTTGCTATATGACAGAAATTGTAGATGCAAAAATAAATAAGTGAATCTTTCCCCTCGAAGTTTAATGGGCATTTGGTTAACCCATTTCTGGTGGCACTAACGTATTCATAAACACTTTCGGTAAAGTTCTCAAGTTATAAAGAGAAATGGGTTGAGTATCCCTTACCCAAAATGCTTGGGACCAGAAGTGTTTCAGATTTCGGATATTTTTAGATTTTTAGAATGCCTGCATATACATAATGAGATACCTTGAGGATGCGACCCATGTCTAAACACAAAATTCATTTATGCTTCATATATACTTTCTACACATAGCCTGAATATGCAATATATGTCATACTTTTAATAATTTTATGCATGCAAAAAGATTTCACTCTGTTTTTGACTGTGACCCATCACATGAAGTCAAGTGTGGAATTTTTTTTTTTTTTTTTTTTTTTTGAGACAGAGTCTCACTCTGTCACACAGGCTGGAATGCAGTGGTGCAATCTTGGCTCACCGCAAGCTCTGCCTTCTGGGTTCACGCCATTCTCCCGCCTCAGCCTCCTGAGTAGCTGGGACTACAGGTGCCCGCCACCATGCCTGGCTAATTTTGTTTCTGTATTTTTAGTAGAGACGGGGTTTCACCGTGTTAGCCAGGATGGTCTCGATCTCCTGACCTCGTGATCCACCCGCCTCAGCCTCCCAAAGTGCTGGTATTAGAGGTGCGAGACACCGCACCCGGCCTGGTGTGGAATGTTCTACTTTGGGGTCATGTTGTTGCTCGGAACGTTTTAGGTTTTGAAGGATTTCAGATTTTCATACTGGAGATAGTCTGTATTGAGAAAAGCAAATATCTAGAGTTTAGTTTGAGTTGCAAACAAATTTTGATTTATCTTTGTGATTTCCCAGAAAGTCGCATTGTTTATTTCTCAGAATCTGTTAGTATTCCCTTTCCATTTTAAGAATAAAGAAAGAACAGAAGAACCTGTAGTTCAGTAGGCTTTGGTTTGCTGACCAGTTGGATGAAGAGGGCTCAAAAGATTAAACTAAGTTAGATGAAAGGTGCATGGTCATTTCTGAAGAAATGTGTTTGGGAGCCACAGTGCTAAGCTGGACACTCAGCATGGTTTTTCTGTGCTGTTGCTCTGTTTGAGTTTTCTTAGATTAAAATTTAAGGGTATGTATCTAGATGTGAACAATGAGTTTTGAGTTCTGGGTAAGCTGGAAGAAAAGTGTACAAAAGCCTCAAAAGCTGTTTGGTGCAGTGTTGTTCCTTCTGGCCAGTGATTATTGGCCAGAAATTTCTAATTGAGAGGGCTTCGCAAATGGAGTATAAACTGCAGTTTGGCCTCATTTCCTATTTAGCTGTGGGTTGGATATTGATCTTAGTCTGGGGATAGAGCAGTGAACAGAACAACCTGGATCTAGGTTTTCTTGGAGTTCAGAGTTATTAAACTAGGCTCTGAAGTGGACATCAGGGGATTCCCTCCAAGACTTTGAGGACATGGTTATATTTCATCCATATTTCTTAAGGAATGGAGTTCATTATTTTTTCTTGATTTGGCCTCAGTGCTTCAGGCCTGTCACGAGACATCCCCAAGTTCCTGAAAAAGGTCAGTTTTGCACTGAAGACATCTATCAGGAGGAGAGTCTGTCTGCATCCCGGCATCCCTTCATTCTTTTCTTTTCTTTTTTTTTTGGCGGAGTCTTTATCTGTCACCCAGGCTGGAGTGCAGTGGTGTGATCTTGGCTCACTGCAACATCCATCTCCCGGGTTCAGGCGATTATCATGCCTCACCCTCCGGAGTAGCTGGGATTACAGGCACCCACCACCACGCCCAGCTAATTTTTGTATTTTTAATAGAGACAGGTTTTCACCGTGTTGGCCAGGCTGATCTCTTAACTCCTGACCTCAAGTGATCCGCCCACCTATGCCTCCCAAAGTGCTGGGATTACAGGCGTGAGCCACCGTGCCTGACCATCCCTTCATTCTTATGTGATTCATTTGAGCAGTCGGCCATCAATACCCCTGGACAGTCTGCTTTCCCTGCTTCTCTACGGCCTTGCGGGGACCTTTCATTTAAAAATCAAAATGGAGAGGTTTTAGTTAATTTGAGGGTTCACGTATGAAGGAATGGAAGAAACTAAAAAGTGGTGACAGTTTTCTGGGGTGCTGACTTCAGGCAGGGAGTTACTGTACTTAAGACCAGGGCAGTTCTTCTGAGGGAACAGAAGTTGGTGTGCACTCCGTCCCCCACTCCACACAGTGTGGTACCAACATCAGCGAAGGTGTTGGGGCGGCAGGGTCTTAGAATCCCTGTAATGGGGGAGCTGAGAAGTAAGAGTACCTTCAAGAGAAATGCTTGCCGAATCAGACCTAAGGAGGGTATGTGTTAAATATTTTCCTCCTCTCCTGAGCCACAGAACACAAGCAAATTAGGCTTTTCAATAACACGGTTTCCATGGGAAAATGCTTTATGGGCCCCCTGGGAACTGACAGACTTATTTGTCCATAAACTGGGAACTACTGTGCTAAGCATTTACTTGCAATTTGTGGGTTTCTGTTTAAATTAAGTTCTCTTTCTGTCTGTGAGATTGATTTCTTATTTGAAGAAGTAAGCTATGTTGGTGGGTTTCAGAATGTTGATTTTTTTTTTAAAAAGTGGCAGTTGGGGTTCACTGGCGAGGGCTCTGGAGTTGGCCTGGCTGGGTTGGAAGGGGCTTCCGCTGTGGCCTTGGGCAGATTGATTCCCTAAACCCCAGCATCCATGTCTGTGCAGTGCTGGGCTTTCATGGGACCTGCTGCCGATGCTGCATTGCATGTCATGCTTTGCGCCTGCTGACTCGGTTTTTGTTTCCACGTGTTCCTCTGTTCTGCACGGAAGCTGTGTGTTGCTCGTTCACATGCAGATTGTTGATTGTCTCTTTGTAATCACTATCATTAAAGATGACAGATTTCCACTTGGTGTGATATGAGGAAATCAGAGTATTTAAGATGTAACCAGTCTACTCCCCCCTTGATAATTGTAATTGACAAAATCACATCTAAGAGATCATTTCTGTCATTTTTTTCCCTAGGAGTACGTTTAAATTTTTTCTTTATAAAAGGGTAGCTAATTGTGCTACATCAACCTGCTAATTGGTGTTTTTGTAAAGCTTCTACTTTTTGGCACTGACATAAATAGAATTTTTTAAAAATTGGATATATGTAATTAATAATGTTCCAATTCTTACCTCATTATGTGCCCTAGCATTGAAGGATTTCACTCATGGATCACTTGACTGCATGATCTTATAGATGGAAAAATGAATTTTAGAGGCTTATTTTAAAAATAATCCATGGTCTAGCTTCATGTATCAGGAATAGCCCTACATTAATGGTACCAGGAGCCTGGGCCTCTGTTGCTGAAAGGTCCTGGACCTTTTACCTCTAAAATTTCATGATACTTATTTTAACATGAAAAGCCTTTATTGAATTGTGCATTCTTTAATCCCCACCCCTTTTGCCTTTCAGCATTAAACTGAAGAAAAGATGTCCCTGTACGATGACCTAGGAGTGGAGACCAGTGACTCAAAAACAGAAGGCTGGTCCAAAAACTTCAAACTTCTGCAGTCTCAGCTTCAGGTGAAGAAGGCAGCTCTCACTCAGGCAAAGGTAAAGACAAGCCCAGAGCATGAGAGCAGAGGCCTCCAGAGTGGGTTCCTCATTAGGATGACAAGGAATTTGGTTTCAGCTTGCTCTTCTGCCTTTGTATTGGGTAAATGGTGTTAAGCATTTGTAGGGGGAGAGGAATGAGGAGTTTAAGGCCACTTTGCTACTCCTGGCTCCTGGGAATAGGAACATTTCGTGGGGTAGGAATGAAGAAAAACAGTACTCTGCGGGGGCTGGGCGCAGTGGCTCACGCCTGTAATCCCAGCATTTTGGGAGGCCAAGGCAGGCAGATCACGAGGTCAGGAGATCCAGACCATCCTGGCTAACAAGGTGAAACACCGCGGGCGCAGTGGTGGGCACCTGTACTGCCAGCTACTCGGGAGGCTGAGGCAGGAGAATGGCGTGAACCCGGGAGGCAGAGCTTGCAGTGAGCCGAGATCGCGCCACTGCGCTCCAGCCTGAGCGACAGAGCAAGACTCCGATTCAAAAACAAACAAACAAACAAACAAAAAAACAGTACTCTGAACCAGCAGTGACACTGCTTTTCAAACTTAAGTAGTGGAGGTCTAAGATTGAGTGAGAACTTGTTTAAGGTGCTAATTTTGTAGCCTTACTCCTGATATTCTGGTAAACTGTAGTTCAGGCTGGAGCCCCAGGAGTGGGAATTTTTAAGTAGCATTCCTACTGGTTTGGTGGAGGTAGTTTGGAAGCAGCACTTTGGGAAGAAGCTCCACAGAATACCTAAGCTGCTGCGTGCAACTTATTGAGGGCTCAGGTTGATTGTGAAGGCGTCAGGCATAGGTAGTCTGGATGCTGATTGCTTTTGTTTCTGTTGTGTACATGTTGGGTATTGGCAATGTCCTTGAAATAACATGTAAAACATTAAAAACCTAGTTGTCGACTGGATATTTGCCATTAAAATGTAGGCATGAGAATGGTATTATGGTTTGTTTACTACTTTAGAGATCTTTATGTTCTAGAGTATGCATTCGTAATGGAGGCTATATCCCCCCAAACAGAGCGAATATTGGTCTTTTTGGGGGTGAAAAAACCTTGCTCGTGTTGTGCACAGTGTATCTGTGGTGTGAAAATTTCATGTGCGGGAGAAAATTTAGTCAAAGGCTCCTTGCTGGGGAGGCAGTAATTAAAGTTGAGAAAAAGTACTTTAGAGATGTGTACTGAAATATTTACCGATAAGATGATGTCATTTTTGGGATTTACTTCTAAACAATTCAGTCCCGGGCAGGGGAGGGAGGGAAGAACAGAACTACCCATGAGTTGATAATTGTTGAAACTGGATGTGGATAGTAGAGACTTAAGAATTAATATTAATCTCTAATTTCATGTTTGAAAATTTCCGTAATACACAGGTTTTTTGTTTTTTTTTTTTTTTTTTTTTTTTTTTTTTGAGACGTAGTCTCACTTTGTAGCCCAGGCTGGAGCGCAGTGGCATGATCTCAGCTCACTGCAAGCTCCGCCTCCCAGGTTCACGCCATTCTCCTGTCTCAGCCTCCTGAGTAACTGGGACTACAGGCGCCCACCACTGCGCCTGCGGTGTTTCACCTTGTAAGCCAGGATGGTCTCGATTTCCTGACCTCGTGATCCGCCTGCCTTGGTCTCCCAAAGTGCTGGGATTACAGGCGTGAGCCACCGTGTCCGGCCAATACACAGGTTTTTTTTCTTAAAAGTTCTACTCATTTTTCTTTTCCCTTTACCACATCAATAGATACTTACATGGAAGTGCTTACATTTGATTGTTCAGTATTGTAGAGAGGTTTTTTTGTGTTTTTAAAATTCATCATTACCAAATTTAGATTTTTTGGATGCCAGTATTTTGTGTTTTTTTTAAAACAAGGTTTCATTCCAAATGTAAGGAGGGTTAGCAAAACCTCGTTTTTCTCTTTAATTTTTTTTAAAAGTACATTTATAAAATCTTTGTAGATTTCATGTAACTTTTGCTTTGCAGGGAAGATGCAGGTGTGAGCCACCGTGCCCGGCCTCATATAGATTTTTAAAACTTGAGGTAGCTTGTGAAGTTATTTCTACTAACTTTATAAAACTTTTGAGATTGCTATGTACAGTTAGTTTTGTGGGTTTTTTTTTTTAAGGGAAGTGAAGATTGCATTCTCTTAGGCTGTTTAGTTACTCAGAATACTAGATTGGCCTAGCCAAACCTGTAAAGGTATTTATTTGGTAGAGAAAATTTGAAGCTGTGGTTTCATTTGTATCTCCATTTGAAAAAATACAGTTGTTTCTTGGTGTCCACAGGGGATTGGTTCCAGGACCCCCCTGCCCATACCAAAATCCAAGCGTGCCCAAGTCCCTTATATAAAATGGTGTGGTATTTGCACGTAACTAACACACATCCTCCCATATTTTAAATCATCTGTGGATTGCTTGCAATACCTAACACAATGTAAATGCTGTGTAAAAAGTTGTTATACCGTATTGGTTTTTTTATTTGTATTTTTTGTTGTATTGTTTTATTTTCTTAATATTTTCAGCCTGGGGTTAGATGTGGAACCTGTAGATACAGAGGGCCAACTCTATATTGAATAGAAAATAATAATAATAGAAAATATGTGATTCTGGCTGGGCGTGGTGGCTCACACCTGTAATCCCAGCACTTTGGGAGGCCAAGGCGGGTGGATCACCTGAGGTCAGGAGTTTGAGACCAGCCTGACCAACATGGTGAAACCTTATCTCTAATAAAAATACAAATATTAGCCCGGTGTGGTGGCGTGCATCTGTAATCCCAGCTACTCTGGAGGCTGAGACAGGAGAGTTGCTTCAACCTGGGAGGCGGAGGTTGCAGTGAGCCGAGATCGAACTCCAGCCTGGTGACAGAGCAAGACTCCATCTCAAAAAAAAAGAAAGAAAGAAAATATGTGATTCTAATAAATCCCCCTTCCGTTCTGTAAACTTTCGTATTTACTTTGTGAGTTGTTAATTGGATTAAATTTTGTTTGCTTAAATTTATAAGTATTGTTATATTCAAGAGAGATGAAGGCTTATTTTGTGCCTTTTATAGTGGTAATGAAAATTTGTAACACTTTAAATTGCAAAAGAGAAAAATTAAACCTTTCTAATCAAAAGATCTAATGGTTACCACCATACCCATATGATCAACCTTAGCATTGCTGTTAGACGGCCTGACGCAGTGTGCCTGCTGTGTGTTGCAGGAAGGGGCACACTGCCTCACCTGGGAAGTGTTCCTGCCTAAAAGCTTTACCCTGAATTCGATCAGGCCTTTAACCTCCAGGTTTCAGGAATTACAAGGCATAGAGGAACAAGCTCAACTAAATAACCAGGTAGTTATTAGACAGATCTAGAACAAACAGCATTTTACAAGATAGTGTCAGAGGAAAAAAAGGAAGAGGAGATGAAGATGATGGTGATGATGATGATGGGGAAGAGGGACTGTTCTTAATCAAGACACTTAAAAACCAAAAGCATTTCAGGAACTTTGGTAGGATCCTGGTTCAAAAAAAAAATCAGCTGTTTAAAGGACATTTTTGGGATATCTTGGAGAATCTGAATGTGAACTGGATGGGAAATGACATGGGAATTAGTGATTTTATTAGGGGTAGTAATCTGACAGGAGAATGTCCACGGTTTCAGGAGATTGGGGTGAAGTGTCATGATGTCTCCAACTTTCTTTCAAATGGTCTAGCAAAAAATACAGGTGTAAGGGCAAGAAGTATGGTAGAACATTAACAATAATTGAATGTATAGAAATGATTTTCTTTTAAAAACTTTTTTTTGTAGATTCATAATAAAGGAGATAGGAAGGATTCTATATCCTAGTAGGAGGGAACAAAACTCTTATCCCCAAGTATCTTTTGAAAGTGACTAAGTTTACTGTAAACCTTTCACAGAAATGGAGAAAATCTCATGTTTTTGAAAAAGCTGAAAGAAAATAATATATGATTATAGTAATAAATTAAAAGGCTGTTGTTTTGAGATTATGGTTTTCTCATATCTCAAAGGTTTGTTGCAGGGACCAGAAAGAAAATCTTTGTTGCAAACAGTGTGAATTTTAATTTGAAACTTCAGTATGTTTTCCTTGTTTTTGATGATTTTAGAGCCAAAGGACGAAACAAAGTACAGTCCTCGCCCCAGTCATTGACCTGAAGCGAGGTGGCTCCTCAGATGACCGGCAAATTGTGGACACTCCACCGCATGTAGCAGCTGGGCTGAAGGTAAGCCCGCGCCTGCCTGTGAGCTTGATACGTGTCTCTGTTCCCATGTGGCTTATTTTGCATATGAGTTACTCTTAACAGATGGCCTCCTTGGTGGGCCTTTGAAACCAAGTTAGTATCATTTTCCACCTAATTTTTACTTCTGTTTTGCCAATTTTAAAATGTATCTATTTGAAATTAAATAGTTTGTTGTAGAAAAATCAGAAACTAGAGATACGCAGAAAGAAAAACAAATTACCTTCAGTCATACAATCCGGAAGTGAAAAACGTAATATTTTTCCATCCTGTGCCTACTCCACCTTCTGCTAACTTGCTTTTCTTACTTAATACGTTGTGACTCTGTCAAAAAATACAGGACTGTATGATCACGTTTATGGCTTCACTATATTCCCTTGTATATAGATGGACTATAATTTAATTCCTTTAATGCTGGATATATGGGTTGTTTCTATTTTTTGCTATCATAAACAGTGTTAGTACTTACTGATTTATTGTGGATTAAAACAGAGAAAGGGGTTTTAAAACCCACTTCTACCACCCTAACCTGTATGATTCCAGTGATTTTACATATGCTTAAAAACAAACATGTGGTCAACTCTATAAATTGGGTTATTGAGGATGAAGAAGATCTGGAAAAGGATAACTCAAAATCATAGTTAAAACTAGACAAAATGAGGTAAAATGAGTGAATAAACTAGTTAAAATTATACCCACAATTTAAGTATACATTTATCTTTCCACAGATGGCGTTCAAATAATGACTGTGGTCATTTAAACAGCATCATGAATTGCACAAAACCGCTTGATGAAAAATGACCAAAAGATTAATAATAGTGCTATCGAGACAGTTTCTTAGCAAGGCGCGCCTGTCCTCCCCACCACCTGTGGGAAGGGCTGCATCAGGCTGGGGCAAAGGGCACACTCCTGCCCATCTGTTTCACGTCACTGTTCTGGGTTGGGCTCCGTCTCCTGCCTGTCCTGCTTATGTTCTGGGCCAGTCTGTGGCTGCAGCTTACCCTTGAGTTGTCCTTTTCTGAGGGGAGCGGGTGCTGTTCCTGAGGGCTGGTAGTTCTTCTGGAGGGGAAGCACCACATGGTGGAGGTGTTTTTTTGCTGATTCCTAGTCATTGAGCATTTTCCCCCATAAATTTGATACCTAGTTTATTCCTGCTACATCTAATTTAAAAACTGGTTCATAGTTTCTTCTGTAATCGTGTATTGGTTCTAGTACCTATAATATTAGTCTCCTATTTAATGAGTAAGCCTTTTTCCTCCTTGTTACATAGTTTTCACGATCAGTTTTTAATTCTCATTAAGCGAATGCATCATAATTTACACAAGTATTCCCTAACTGTAAAACCACCTAGATTTGCTTTTACATTGCCTTTATAAATACCACTCTAATGAACATCTTTTTGTGGTTTTTATTTTTGAGACAGGGTCTTGCTCTGTCACCACGCTGGAGAGCAGTGGTGCAATCTTGGCTCACTGCAGCCTCCTCCTCCTGGGCTCAAGCGATCCTTCCACCTCAGTCTACTGAGTAGTTAGGACCACAGGCATATGCCACCACATTTGACTAATTTTTTGTAGAGATGAGGTTTCACCATGTTGCCCAGGCTAGTTTTGAACTCCTGAGCTCAAACGATCCACATGCCTTGGCCTCCGAAATTGCTGAGATTACAGGCATGAGCCACTGCACCCGGCCCTCTAATGAACATCTTTACAGAGATGTTTCTATGTAATTAGGGTTATTTTCTTAGATTTTCTGAGGTGGCATTAAGATATCAGCCATTTTTATGGCCAATCTGTTCTGGCACCAGTTTACTCCCAGCAGTGCACAGTATCACCTCAGGCATATGAGGGTGAATTTTACCCCATCCTCCCCCCTCAGCATTGAGGGTATTAACATTTTAATTTTTTTAAATTGAACAAATCACTTTATTCATTGCAGCATTTAGAAAAGGATGATTGATTTCATTGTTAAGCATAGCAGGGTTTATATGTAAAAGTTTTTTTCTTTGAAATTTTGAAGTGTCAGAGAATGAACCTTCATATTGACAGTTTGTTCTCTTAGACACGTTGTGATAATTGTGTTAGATAAATTGAGTGGCTGGTTGTCATTTTCTCTCTAAATAATAACTGAAAAGAAATCTTCATGTGCTTTTGTATTTTTTAAATGTCTTTTATAAAATGAATACAAATGTATAACTAACCTTTAGGAGCCCTACATTAAATACATTTTCCAGTGGGTAGGGCCTGGGAGGTGATTATAGTTATTTTCCTAATTGCTCTTATTCATTGGATCATAGCATTTCCTGATATTTCGTCGTAAGGAAATGGTGAAGTGTTTGTTTTATAGTGCAAAATGTCACACCGAACCATGAAACACAGGAACTGTTCGATTTAGGTCTGTTAATATGGCGTGTAAGCTGTCTTGATTTTGTCAGTTCTGTGTTCAAGCAGGAAACACGTTTACAAACGACCTTCTTGCCTTTGATACAGTTGGACATTGTACCTCCTGTAAGAGGTACAGACTGGGCGCTCAAGGACATGAATCCTTGTTGTTTTGCATGTGTGTTTTAAAAAAAATGGGGACACTAATCCTAACCTGTGCTTGTTTGAGGTGTCTTTCAAAACCAGAGAAGGCATCTTATTGTTACAGATAATAACGAAGAATTATGCTAAGAACACTAACAGGAGAAAGTGTGGGAAGGTTTAGGAAAGTGGGGTCAGGGCTTCCAGCACCACGTGTAGACCGAGGCTGCCAGCCTAGGGTAAAGTTCTGTGTCTGCTCATGTATTTCCTAGTATACTGGCTGTGCTCTGCCTCTCGTTTTGCTAATTTCTTTGTCATGGCTACCTCTTTTCTTTCAAAGAGTAGACCAAGTTTCTGAATGTATAGACGAGAAAACACGAAGTGTTATCTAAACCTGATTTTAGTGAACCTTAAAAAAAATTATGATGCTGGAAGGGACATTACATCCCCTTGTGTCAAACTCAGTGCCTGAAATGCAGCCTACCTGGGAAGGGACATGTGTTCAGAGGATTAGAAAGACCAAGAAGATGCTTTCTAAGATCTCCATATATTCTTATCTCCATGTAATCAGAATCTGAAGTTATTCTGTTAAAATGATGACTGCAAGAATGATTGTGGTGTTCATGGTTGTTTTATTTTTTAAGTTGTCATAGAGATCTATAAAAACAAGTATTCAGTGCTTTACTATAAGTATTCTAATTTTTTGACTCAAAGTACTAGTAACTTATATTTTAGCTGGTGGTGGCTTATTTAGGAATTCCAGGAAAAATGCCATAGAGTATTATAGAAATAGTACTAATCTAAGAGGTGAAATTTTGTGTCCTGTTTCTGCTACCACCTGACTAGGCACGTGGCCTTGTCTGGTATTTGTTTTCTTTGTCTTTAAAACAGAGGAAGGGGCTAGATGATGTTCAGAGTCCTTTTATCTCCCATACGCTTTGACCTGAATCCTGTGAGTAAACTGGTAAGATATAAAGAGGATTCTTACTGCTGTTTTTACCTTCCTCAGGATCCTGTTCCCAGTGGGTTTTCTGCAGGGGAAGTTCTGATTCCCTTAGCTGACGAATATGACCCTATGTTTCCTAATGATTATGAGAAAGTAGTGAAGCGCCAAAGAGAGGAACGACAGAGACAGCGGGAGCTGGAAAGACAAAAGGAAATAGAAGAAAGGGAAAAGTAAGGCTTCCTTTGGATTTGGGGATATTTTACAGTTGAAATGTTCATTAAAATGTTAACGAATGAGCGTCGCTGCTGTCTGTAAGGCTGAAGTTAATTGTCATGGGTGATCTGAGCAGTCACTACAAGGAATCAAACTGTTTTACGATTTGTACCTGTTACATCTCAGAATCACAGCAAACTTCACCTGTAGACTGAAGACCTAAAGTGTATATTTTGAGTGAGTTGTTAGAAAAATAACTTATAAACCTGATGTTGAAAATTTTTTTCTATGCTGATACTCTGCTATAGGTTGACTATCCCTTATTCAAAAATCCGAAATCTGAAATGCTCCAAAATCTTTTGAATGCCAACATGCCGCTCAAAGGAAATGTGCATTGGGGGATTTTGGCTTAGGGATGCTGAACTGGTAATTGTAATGCAAATATTCCAAAATTTGAAACACTTCTGGTCCCAGGCATTTGGAATAAGGGATTCTCAACTTGTAAAATCACAGCTATTTAAAGTACTTGAAATATTCTTCTTAACTTTACTATTTTTGAGCCAGGTGGAATTTTTAAAAATTCATATGCAGCTTTTATTTATGTTTTTGCAAAGTACGAGTAGTAGGATGTATTTGTAGTTCTTTTTAAAAATATTTAGTATTATCAAATAGTTAACATGTATTAAATATTAATATACTGTTTCCCATTTATTGAATCATTTCATGAGTGAAAGTGTTATAGACTATTGAAATGATTGAACTATTACTATGTTGATAGGCTTTAACATTGGAAGAGGTCAATGTCAAGGAACCTTTTTTTTCATGCTGGTTGCTCTCGTATACTTATTGGTTCAATTTATCTCTTGAATTTTTCTCACTTTTCATACTTTTATCTACTTTAGTCTTTTACCAGTTATGCTTCCTACCCCCTCTACCCCTGCAACTTCATAGTTGATTGTGACAGGATTTGGATATCTTCTGGTCAAGAGGAAGTCATCCCAGGTTCAGGTCTCTAAATTGGTTCATCTGTGATGAACATTTATTTCCTTTGTTATCACAGAAGGCGTAAAGACAGACATGAAGCAAGTGGGTTTGCAAGGAGACCAGATCCAGATTCTGATGAAGATGAAGATTATGAGCGAGAGAGGAGGAAAAGAAGTAAGGCATGAACAAATATGTCTTAAACATATATAAATACTGGAAGTGCAATTCCACTATGTGCTTTTTCTTTTCAGTTTGATAAATAGTTCATTTGACATTGATTTGGGTAATTTTCTTTCTGGAATCCCAGCAATACACATTTGCGTCACAGTTTTAATTTATATTGGGTTTTCATATGTATTTTCCTTTGAGCTTCACAACCACTTTCTAACATTTATTTATTGGATACTTTGGGACTAGCTTAAAATCTATTCCTGCACTGTCTTTACCTGCAGCACAGTCCAGTTGGCCGATGCTGAATCCACTCTGTTGTTTCTCTTAGGGGGGAAGCATAGTTAACATTGAGTGTGTCTGTTTTGGGCATTGTGACACATTTCATATCCGCTATCTTAGTTAATCCCCAAATGTTTGGTTTTTATTAACTTCTTTTGGAATTCAGTATATAGGTTGAATATTTGTAGGTCTCATTTTTCCAGCTTATAAATTGACTGCCCTTTTTAATAAGGAGGCATGCTTTCCATACTAAGGACATTTGTTTTTTTTTCTTAAACACCAGCAGGAACTAGATAGCTTTGAATGAGAAGACTTTGTTTGACCTTGTAGCTCATGATAGGGAGGTAGTGGCATGCCCATCATATGTATAGTTGTTGACAGATTGATGTTCTTATTTTAATGTGATTAGTAGCAGATTTCCAGTAATCACCCTGAATTTTTTTAACTGAACTTATTAGAGCTAATCTGCTTTTCAGAATCAGTAATCACTCTAGGTCCTAGTGACAAGGTTAGTAAAATGATCATGGAAGTATTTCAAAGGAAATAGAAGAAGGTTTTACTCAGGTTCATATTTCTCCTTGAGGATTTTATATCATCCAGTCCTGTTAATCAAAATGCATGGACACTGGCTTTAGAATAATTTCTAGAATAATTCTTTAGAAGAATGAATTTATTTATTTTTGAGATGGAATCACTCTGTTGCCCAGGCAGGAGTGCAGTGGTGCAATCTCGGCTCACCACAACCTGCAACCTCCTGGGTTCTAGCAATTCTCTTGCCTCGGCCTCCAGAGTAGCTGGGATTACAGGTGTGCGCTACCACGCCCATCTAATTTTTACATTTTTAGTAGAGACAGGGTTTCACCATGTTTGCCAGGCTGGTCTCAAACTCCTGACGTCAAGTGATCCACCCACCTCAGCCTCCCAAAGTCCTGGGATTACAGGTATGAGCCACTGCACCCGGCCTCTTTTTTTTTTTTTTTTTTTTTGGAGACACTCTTGCTCTGTTGCCCAGGCTGGAGTGCAGTGGCGCCATCTCGGCTCACTGCAACCTCCATCTCCTAGTTTCAAATGATTCTTCTGCCTCAGCCTCCCAAGTAGCTGGGATTACAGGTGTGTGCCACCATGCCCAGCTGATTTTTGCATTTTTAGTAGAGATGGGGTTTCACCATGTTGATCAGGCTGGTCTCAAACTCCTAGCCTCAAGTGATTTGCCTGCCTCAGCCTCTCAAAGTGCTGGGATTACAGGAGTGAACCACTGCGTCCAGCCAGAATAATTTCTTTTGTCAAACATTTTGTGCTGATGCAGCATGACTTTGTAATCAATTTTTAAAGTTTTACATTTTGTTTTTATTTCATTGTTGATTAAGCCATAATACATATGTATTATGTAATATTATGTATACGTAATCCATATATGTTAGGACTTATGCCTAATGCAAAATTCCTTGTGGTCTCCACTGATGTTCTCCTTCCAGTTGTCGGATACCAGATAAAAAGATCTGTCTTATCTCTTTTGGTTTGTTTGTGTTCACCATTCGTTGTCCAGGAAATACACCAGGAATAGTGACAACACGCAGCAGTTTCTTCAGGAGCCAGAAGGACCCACGCTTTCAAATATGTGTTTAGTTCCAGTGGTTTGCACACTGGAAAAGGAGCGTGCTGTGTGGTGGGGGAGATATGGCAACGCAGGGAGCTGGGTTTACTCCCTTTCTGTTGATTCACTCCCCTCTGATCATTCTCTTATTTGTAAACTGGATGCAGTAATATCTACTTCAGAGGTCTGTGAAGCCTGAACGAGGCCATGTGTATAAAGGGCCTAATGGGTATTGCTCTCGGTAAATAGTTACATTACTCTCTTTTTAAGTAACTGCTGGTTCTCTTGGTTGTATTGTTTTGCCTTAAAATTCATTTGCAGACTACATTGTGGGGCTCTTGAGTTCCTTTTATGAAGGAACAATTTTGCATATCTGAGGGAGTGTTGCCACTTTTCTACATTTTAAATCCTAGCATCAGAGGTTTGTTCATATGTAGCAGGAGGTCATCTGAAGTAGCAGGTCCTCCTTTTTTAGTTTTT
Source organism: Homo sapiens (assembly GCF_000001405.40). Lineage (NCBI taxonomy): Eukaryota > Metazoa > Chordata > Mammalia > Primates > Hominidae > Homo > Homo sapiens. The sequence goes on from NC_000010.11 coordinate 6,108,589, forward strand.
TCTTAGGGGGGTGGGTGATAGATATATGGTGTGTCATAGTCGTTTGGGAGTCTGGCATCGGAAACCTCCTTTAATGCTTGGATTTGTGGTTTTGCAGGTATGGGCGGAGCTGCCATTGCCCCACCCACTTCTCTGGTAGAGAAAGACAAAGAGTGTAAGTAGATCTGTTTCTTCCTCTTTTATTCTGATACAGGTCTTTAACCCAACCATGGGGGATCTCAGCTTGGGCCCCCAGGTTTCCTGAGCGTAGAGGGAAACGGCCTGCAAGCCTGCCTGGCTCTGTCACCTGAGGCCGCACCTGGATCTCAGAATGCAGCGCCCTCCTGCAGAGAGAGACCTTTCTACGCCAGGCTCTGAGGCTTGGATTTCATGCAGTGGGATCCATCTCTTTTTTATGCAATTCACTTTGATTTCATTAACATTTCTTATTTGTTGTTAGATTCATTTGGAGTTAAAACAGCAGATCGTTACAGTTTTTTAACTCAGAGGTTTAGAGGCTGTTATATTCATGATCCTCCACAAGGTGGCAATGCCTTCCTTGATTAGATTTTTTCTTCCCGTTCCATTTCACTGCAGGTGGGTTTGCGTGTCATTGCGTTGCCAAAACACCCTCACCCACTGTTCCTTCTCGCAGTGATCTGCTCTAGAATTTGGGGGTTGGGACTGGACTTCTGAATATCATCTAGGTCATTTTCCCATTCTCTGGATTGGACCATACTTAAACTATCCCAAGCAGATATTCTCATTTATAGTACTTTTTAAAACTTGTTGAATTCTTTATCTTTTAAAGAAGATAATTTCTAAGATATTATGAAATACCTATTATGTGAAAACAACAGACAAACAATAAACCCCAATTGAAACTAGTCTCTGGGAGTGGGGCTCAGGCATCTGGATGGTCTTAAAGCGTCCTACTGACTTTCATCTAACTAGGGTTGAAGCCACCGCTCCAGTGCGTAGCCCCTAACCTCGGACACCTTTGTGGGCCATGAGCTGATGAGATAGTGAGGTCGGGGTCTAGACAGGTGCACCCAAGTTACTGCAGGAGTCAAAAGATGGCCAGATTGTATCTCCTTAGAACATACAGAACATCTTTCCGGCAAGAATATTCATTCAAGAAGATTTTAAAGGGTGAATAACATTTCAGTAAGATATAAAAAAGACGTTTGAGGAGATAGAAATAGCAAAAGGAAAGTTAGAATCAGGAAAGTAGCGTCCTCCCTCTGTGGTTTTAAAAAAAGTCGTATAAAGGCTGTAAAATTGATTTGGTGTTTTTCTCTCCTTGTGGTAAACCAAAAAGTAGGTTAAATTTGTTCAAGATAAATAATTGATACAAGTGAGGTTTCAGAGTGTTTTCTATAGTATTTTGGTGAGCCTACTTTATTTTTCTCCAATAGTACCCCGAGATTTTCCTTATGAAGAGGACTCAAGACCTCGATCACAGTCTTCCAAAGCAGCCATTCCTCCCCCAGTGTACGAGGAACAAGACAGACCGAGATCTCCAACCGGACCTAGCAACTCCTTCCTCGCTAACATGGGGTAATGATTTAATGTTCTTATCTAAGGACTTGAGAGACAGTGTGAAGCGTTGATAGCCCTTTCAATAGATGCAGCTTGTTTGAAACTGAGGACATTCAGGACCCTTGGTGTGTGCAGGTCACACGGTACCTGCCTCAATCGTGTGGAGCGTGTTCCAGTGTAATGATGGGGCTTGTTCAAAACAGCAACCTCCCAGTAGAAGTTTTGACTCATTTTGATGTTGAACATTATTTTCCTAGACAGGCACAGAACCTGATTAATGTTTACATTTGCCTTCATAACGTTTGCAAATAAAATAGCTCATATGAATCAGAGCTGACTTACTGTCTCCAAAGGGCAGGTGATACCTTTTTTTTCCTGATAAAGTGGGCCATTTGCTTTCAGGTCATGGTTCTAAACCTTTGGTCTAAAAAACTCGGGGTCATTCTAACTACAAGTTGACATGTTTGCCAGCATATAAAATTTGACTGTAAGGCTGACGCTCAGGTGGGGCTTGGGGATTTTTTTAAACTGTGCTGGGCTTGGCAAACATTTTGGTTAAGAGGATATTCTGTGTTGTTGACTTTGATCCTGTGAGACGGCTGTCCCATGAAGCAGTATCACATGAAGGCTTTGTTCTGTGCTGTGTTGCATCTGCTGGCTGCTGCCTGTAGCAGAAATGCAGCCGGTGAGACAGTGAGTGGGGTTGAAACTCACTAGTCTCCTTTCAAGTGCTCAGTGACCACATGCAAGTGGTGACGATGTTGGATGGTGCAGACATAGGACATGGCCGTGGCTGCAGGAAGCTTTGTGTACTGGAGGGTTGGACAGACATGAAGCTGGTTTTGTTTTGTTTTGTTTTGTTTTCCCTGTTTATGATAAAAACTGACTTTTTAGCGAATTTGCTTTTAACCAGGAATTACATCTTTAACTTGTGCTTAGGAAAGATGCAAGATGGTACCATTCAGCAGTTTCTGGTCTTTTTAGCCCTAGAATAGCTTGTTCAAATGAAAATGTTAAGGGAATTAAATACAAGAAGTAATGTAGGTGCAGTTCCAGTTGAAGCGGGATTTTGTGGCTTAAGCCCTAAGCAGCAGTGGTCATGGGGTTGGGGTGCCCTTCAGACCCATGCTGCGCCTCAGAGCGCAGTGTGAGAGCCATTTGGTTGTTACAGAAAGCAGTGACTGAGAGTTGTGGGGTCCAGTTTCAGCTCTACCATTAACAGCTGTACAAATAATTTATTTGTTTTCTGAGATGGAGTCTCGCTCTGTCGCCCAGGCTGGAGTGCAGTGGTGCGATCTCGCCTCACTGCAACCTCTGCCTCCCAGGTTCAAGCAGTTCTCCTGCCTCAGCCTGCCAAGTAGCTGGGACTACAGGTGCACACCATCATGCCCAGCTAATTTTTACATTTTTAGTAGAGATGAGGTTTCACCATGTTGGCCAGGCTGGTCTTGAACTCCTGACCTCAGGTGATCCACCCGCCTCGGCTTCCCAAAGTGCTGGGATTATAAGTGTGATCAACTGCACCCAGCCTGTACAAATAATTTCTAATATGGCGTCTTGCATTACTTCTAAGTCCACCCCTTAAGCTAGTCAGCTAATCTTGGCCTCCGTTTATTTCTCATTTGTTAAATAGGTGATCTCTAAGGGTTCTTTCATTTGTATAGTCTGTCATTGGAAACTCTCCTGTGCTATTTAGGAAAATGGGATCATCTTCATTGTACGAAACTTCATACTTACTTTTTGATAGCCACTTTTTAATAAACTGTGGTCATAAGCTATGTGGCAGTGCAGGTCCGGAGCACACAAAAGGTCTTGTGTTTCCTAGCAGGGCACTGAGGAGACTCCACCAGAGAAACTGACATTTCCCCTCCAAGACAACAGGATGTTCTGGATTTTATTCATAGCTTTTTCTATTTCTTTCATGCTGCACATCCCCACAGCTTCCATCTAATAGCCCACTCCTAGTTAATGAGTGACTTTGTTGAAGCCCCTGTGGAGCATGCACTCTCTCCAGAAGGAGGTTGTTGTGATGGAAAAATGCAACCTATCTCCAGTTGACGATGTCAAGGCTAAGAGTCCTTTCCCTTCTTCTCCTGCCAGGGGCACGGTGGCGCACAAGATCATGCAGAAGTACGGCTTCCGGGAGGGCCAGGGTCTGGGGAAGCATGAGCAGGGCCTGAGCACTGCCTTGTCAGTGGAGAAGACCAGCAAGCGTGGCGGCAAGATCATCGTGGGCGACGCCACAGAGAAAGGTGTGTCCCCAGGGAAGCGTGTGACTAGAGGGAAAGGACTGGCCCCATCCATATCAGACATGGCCAGTCTTGATCCTCATGTGTCAGCAGGGGGACAATGAGGCGTGTGGCCAGAGGGAGAGGGCTGGCCCTGCCATCACTAGAACACAGGCCGTCCTGTTCATATGATGCACTGCCACTTCCGTTTTGTGAAACCAGGAATCCTGAGGCTCATCTTTATTTTTTCAGAACAGACGTAGAGAGATGAAGGCTTGTGGAGGAAAAGATGGTGAGAGACTTGGGCAGAAAATGAGTAGTCCTCAGGAAGAAATCTTGGTTATGTGTTTAGAGCATGAAGGACAGAGCCATATAGTGTGGCAGTGAATATACCTGCTATCTCCATCTCAGAGGTCGTCTCTACTTTTCCCTTTTGCCCTTTCAGTATAGATGTGATTTCTGATTCTCTTACAGATTGTTTGCTTTGCGAGATCTGATGTTATGTTGCAGTCTCTTGGTAAATGATGCCTAGTTGGTGTTTTATTTTCATTTAATTTTTACAGTCTGTTCTGTGTTGAGGGAATTCAGGAAAGAGACAAACATATGTTAGCATTTTAATCAGGGAATTAAGTTTGAGTCAGCCTAGCTGAACTTCCTTTGCTAAAGAAAGAAGAAAACTTTTCTGGCAGCCCCGTTCATGCACAGCTTAGGATACATCACGAGCCTGACAGGTGAGTGCCAGAAACCAACAGTTGTCCCGACTTGTGAGGTTATCTGAAGTAAGGCAGCCGGTGGCTGGATTAGTAACTGCATATTCCCCTGGGCCCGTGACCTTGAACGTTTGCTCCAAGTCAACTCACCTATAGGAATTATCACTCACATGCCCTGTCAGCCCTTTGGGAAGTGAGATGAGCAAAAATTGCAAGTAATGGTGGAGGCTCAAAACATCCAGATGCTATTGTAAAAACATGCCAAAGCAAAGCAGAGGCTTTTATTGCAGATAAGGCTGTGTTTTCGCTCAGAGACCAATTGTGTAGATGCCTAGGACATAAATGGTGGGGATCGCTATTGAAATTAAATTAATTATTGTAAGTAGGACTCAGTTCTGTAACACATCTAATGATATGCTGCTCAGTTCTGTAACACATCTAATGGTATGTTTTGATACAGATGCATCCAAGAAGTCAGATTCAAATCCGCTGACTGAAATACTTAAGTGTCCTACTAAAGTGGTCTTACTAAGGGTAAGAAGCTGAGGAAAGCAAGCTCTCTGCCTGCCTAGATTTGTGTGTGTCACCCCAGCCTACCCTGCTCCCCCTAAAAGTTAAAACTGAAAATGATACTTTTGCAAATAATACTTTGGGCAGATCCCACGTAAGGCTGATTTTAGATTTTTCACTAATGTGTAAGTCTCTTTGCTAAGTACAGTGTTTAAGACTGCAGTGAGTAATTAAATATTTGAAATTGCTAGAGCTTCAGATAGTTTATACATTTTGGTGCTTGCATAGATGCTTTTGTAACTCTTTACAGGCTTAATATATGTTTTAGTGTTTTAAGAAATACTAACTTTTGGGTACTTTGGGGATGAAATTTTTCATTATGTCGTTTGGGATTGAGAACATTTACCATCACTAAGTCATATTTATATACCTCTGCTAGGTGTTTGTAAGTTATACTTGGTACTTGAATTTGTTTATTTTTGTGTTTAAAGAACATGGTTGGTGCGGGAGAGGTGGATGAAGACTTGGAAGTTGAAACCAAGGAAGAATGTGAAAAATATGGCAAAGTTGGAAAATGTGTGATATTTGAAGTAAGAGTGTTTTCTTTTGATGTTTATAACACAAGTTGTAATTGGCACATTACAAAACATTTTCTACAAACAGGACAGGGTATGCTATAAGTAACATTCTTACTGCAGAAGGTGACAGGCGTTGGTTATTTGTACTTCTCTTGCTCAATTATTACAGTTTTAAACATAAAGACAATGATTTCAAGTTTTATTTGATGAAGAAACAGGAATGCTTCATGATTGAGGATCAGTATGATGACTGAAGACCTTGATTCTAGCGTGCTCAGTAGTTTAGTTCCTTAGACATGCCTTTGGTTTCAGTCATTTGGTGAGTATTTAGTGCCTCTCACATGCACTGCACTGTGCGGAGAGCACTTGGATTACAGGAAGCATGCTCTGTACTCTCAGTGGTGTGTTCAGTTGAAGAAACACATAAAATAACTGAAAGATATTCAGTTACTAGACTAGGTAGTATTGACTAAGTTCAGGAGTTGAGAAAAGGATTAGATCAGTGAAAAAATAGACTGCCTTGTGAGCAATAGCAGATATGGGCTGCGCTTTGAAACGAACAGGTGGGATTTGCAGGGAAGGGTATTCTGATTGGGATAATGGCTCGTAGGAGACAGTGAAGATCAGGACTACCAAAATGGAATGGATGGGCCTGTTGGGGATTAGCAGAAGTGCTTAGGTGGGTGGAATTACAGAGGGCTAGGAAAGCTAGACAGAGCTAGTCAAAATGAGACCTGATGTGAAAGGCCACTAGGGCACCAGCCTTTTTAATCTGAAAGCTCTGCTTCCTCTGTTTCTTTATCCTGTTGCTGTTTGTTGACCACATAATTATTTGTTTACGTCATCAGCTGGCACAGGGCCTTTATGAGGTCAGAGACTGCCTAGCCCTGTGTTCCTGGCACCTAACAATGCCTGTCATAAAAACAGGCATTCAGTACGTTTTTGATGATGAACAAATTATACTTATTTCCTTGGTATTTGACAACTACTTGACTGTATATGATGATAATTAGAATATCCACTCTGAGAAATCATTTAAAAGAGAAAACTCATTCAATGCAATCTCAAATGCCTTTACTCATCACGCTCTCATTTTCTTCCAGATTCCTGGTGCCCCTGATGATGAAGCAGTACGGATATTTTTAGAATTTGAGAGAGTTGAATCAGCAATTAAAGGTTAGTGGTACAGCTAAATATTAAAGAATAAAAAAGTTGAATTTACAGCCTTAATCTTTACAAGTAAAGTTACTGTTTAATTAAAGTTAAACCTTTATCTTATAGGATACCTGTATTAACTGTCTTTTGTTTGCCTTTCAGCGGTTGTTGACTTGAATGGGAGGTATTTTGGTGGACGGGTGGTAAAAGCATGTTTCTACAATTTGGACAAATTCAGGGTCTTGGATTTGGCAGAACAAGTTTGATTTTAAGAACTAGAGCACGAGTCATCTCCGGTGATCCTTAAATGAACTGCAGGCTGAGAAAAGAAGGAAAAAGGTCACAGCCTCCATGGCTGTTGCATACCAAGACTCTTGGAAGGACTTCTAAGATATATGTTGATTGATCCCTTTTTTATTTTGTGGTTTTTTAATATAGTATAAAAATCCTTTTAAAAAAACAACAATCTGTGTGCCTCTCTGGTTGTTTCTCTTTTTTATTATTACTCCTGAGTTGATGACATTTTTTGTTAGATTTCATGGTAATTCTCAAGTGCTTCAATGATGCAGCATTTCTTGCACTAAAAAAAAAAAAAAAAAAAAAACTAGAAAGTTTTGGGACATGGGGTTATATTAAATTATTCTTTGTTTTTCTTTTTCTTTTAATAAAGCCTGCAAGTTACTAAATTGTAGTTTCATAAATTCTGTAGTAAAGTATCATCTTGGCAGTGTGCCAAAGGTGAAAATGATGCTTTCTCTAACAGAGAAATTCTTAGTGACTCCAGTCGTAGAAAAACGTCTTTACAACCTGAATAAGATTGAAGAATTGTGAACATACCATGGCCTATTGGATGAATCATTTGCCGTAGGCTAAATCAGACTGTAGGGTTTGTGATGGATTTATGGAGTATGTGGGTATAGAAATCATGAATCTAGCATTTGTTTTCAGAGATTCAAGCATAGTCTTAAGGGTAGATCAGAAATGACAAATGAATTCAAAACCTAGCAGGTGCATTGTAAATGTGTGCCCAGTTATGTTTTGGAAATGGCAGTTCCTTGGGGTCATGTTTCTACTGGCAAAATTTGCAATAGTGTTCTATTGTATGTAATTTTAAAATTTATAAGATTATCCACGTTGGCCAAGTAAACTGTACTGCCAATAGAATTCTGGAATTGTGAGAAATTGTATCATTGAAGTTCAGTAGGATGTGTGGCTTAAAAATTTATCAGGACCACAAAAAAGAAAACAAAAATATTTGGTACTGAGGTTCATTGCCAGGGCAGGAGGTATTTCCAGAAAATACTCATGCCTGTGTTCTGTTCCTTGCTTTCCCAAATACTGCATGTGACTTTCCTAAGCGGCAGCTGAAAGACTCGAGCCCGTGCTGTCTCCTTTGGTTATTATGACATGAAAGTGTATCAAGAACTCAGCATTTCTTTGCATCCATGGACTTGGTTTGGAGACATAAGGAATATTCTGACCCTTTTTAAAAAAGGATTTTCTCATGTTTTTATTTAACATAAATAAAAGAATAACATTTTATCTTTTGTGGTATTATTTTATTGAATAAAATTGAGTTTTATGATAAAAGTGCACCTGTTCTGTAAAGTAAGTTGGGGTTAAGGAATGTGAGGTAAATTACATAATTGAACATTGTGGAAGACAGAATCAAAAGCAGCCCTGGAACTTCAGTTATCTATGGAATTAGGCATACCATTCCTCAAGTGGAAACCATGTTTGTGCTTACAAGTACCGGAGTGTGCTTGTTTAATTTTAGAAACTAATGGTTCCAACCCACCTTTCATGCATGCATTTATTGTTGTTATGCTTTGTAAAACATTGTTTGCACCTAAATGGGTGGCTTTTCCTAACATTCTCATGGTCAGCAACCAGAGAGTTGCAACCAACTCATACTACTTGATTTCCGTTCGCATGAGGACAGCTTGGTGTGTGCCTTTCTCCCCAGTCTTTTATTTTTAAAATAACTGTGTTAATCAGTTAGTGCTTTATTTATAATGAATTTCTGATAGTCGAATAATTTCTAAATCTCCTGCAAGTTAGTACTTGAGAAATTTGAAATTAATTTTCAATATTAACATTTAAGCTAATATAAAAATTTTAAATTTCAATAAAAATTAAAAATTATGTAAGCTACAATGTAACTGGCAAGTTTCCGTGTAATAGACGTTTGTCATTCTTGGTGGCCCATCTGTGAGTTTTTGAAACCCCTTTTTCTTTTTTTTTCTTTTTTTTTTGAGACGGAGTCTTGCTCTGTCGCCCAGGCTGGAGTGCAGTGGCATGATCTGGGCTCACTGCAACCTCCGCCTTCTGGGTTCACGCCATTCTTCTGCCTCAGCCTCCCAAGTAGCTGGGACTACAGGCGCCCGCCACCACGCCCGGCTAATTTTTTGTATTTTTAATAGAGACGGGGTTTCTCCGTGTTAGCCAGGATGGTCTTGATCTCCTGACCCGTGATCCGCCTCAGCCTCCCCAAGTGCTGGGATTACAGGTGTGAGCCACCGAGCCCAGCCTGAAACGCCTTTTTCTGTGTGGGGAACTTCCTTGTTTCCCTCCTCCCCGCAAGAGACTAGAAACTTGCTTTCCCAGCCTGTCTTGCAGGTTGAGTAGGGTTGTGCGCTTGGGATCTCTGATCAGACCGGCACCGCAGTGTGGGAGAGAAGCTGTGTGAAGAGTCTGTCGTCTGACTTTGGCAAGGGTTCCTCTGCACAGTGTTGTGTGGCACTGGGGGCAGCAGTGGCAGAGACCTTGTCACCTCTGCTGGTGTGTGGTATCTGGCAGAGCAGTCTATGGAGGGGTTTGGGATTTTTGCTTTACATAAAACCTGCGGCTTGTCCCTGGCCTTTTCCTTTTTTTTTTTTTTTTTTTTTTTTTTTCTGAGACGGAGTCTCACTCTGTTGCCGAGGCTGGAGTGCAGTGGCGCGATCTCGGCTCACTGCAAGCTCTGCCTCCCGGGTTCATGCCATTCTCCTGCCTCAGCCTCCCAAGTAGCTGGGACTACAGGCGCCCACCGCCACACCCGGCTAATTTTTTGTATTTTTAGTAGAGACGGGGTTTCATGGTGTTAGCCAGGATGGTCTCGATCTCCTGACCTCGTGATCCACCCGCCTTGGCCTCCCAAAGTGCTGGGATTACAGGCGTGAGCCACCGCGCCCGGCCTCCTTTTTTTTTTTCTTCTTGAGACAAGAGTCTCACTCTTGCCTAGGCTGAAGTGCAGTGGTACAATCTCAGTTCACTGCAACCTCCACCTCCCAGGTTCAAACAATTCTTGTGCCTCAGCCTCCCAAGAAGCTTGGATTACAGGCATGTGCCACTATGCCTGGCTAATTTTTTTATTTTTAGTGGAAAAAGCGTTGCGCCATGGTGGCCAGGCTGGTCTTGAACTCCTGGGCTCAAATTATCTTTTTGCCAAAGTGCTGGGATTATAGGCATGAGCCACCGCACCCAATCCTTTTTTTTTTTTTTTTTTGGTAGATTTCTTTCTGCTTAAACAAGCTAGAGTGAATTTTTAAATCTGCACCTAAGACCCCTGACTGATAACAGATTGATAGCTGGGATTGCACATGACAAATCCTGAAAGATGAAAGATGGAGGAGGTAGGATGGGACTGGTAAGGACCCGGTTTCCCTGGGCTGAAGAACTGGTGAACCTCGTTACTTGGTGGTGAGGCATTTAGCCAAGCTGCTGCTGTTCCTTGGACTATAGGCTGGTGTTATGGCTTGCCTCGGCCTCCCAATATGCTGGGATTATAGATGTGAGCCACTGGCCTGGTTTTTTTTTTTTTAATGTACATAAATTAAGATTTAGTCGTGGCCGGGCGCGGTGGCTCACGCCTGTAATCCCGGCACTTTGGGAAGCCGAGGCAGGCAGATCACCTGAGGTCAGGAGTTTGAGACCAGCCTGGCAAACATGGCAAAACTCTGTCTCTACTAAAAAAAAATTAGCCAGGTGCGGTGGCGCATGCATGCCTGTAATCCCAGCTACTCAGGAGGCTGAGGCAGAGAATTGCTTGAACCCAGGAGGCGGAGGTTGTAGTGAGCCAAGATTGTGCCGCTGCACTCCAGCCTGGGTGACAGAGAGGGACTCTGTCGCAAAAAAATAAAAAAATAAAATGTATTCATCTTTACAGTATCACACAGAATGGCTTTAAAGCCCTAAGAAATCCCCTGTGCTTCATCTATGTAGTGAAATTTCCACCCTACTCCACACCTGCATTCCTGGCAACTACTGATGTGTTGACTGTCTATAGTTTTGCCTTTGCCAGAATGTCATGTAACTGGAAAGCACATACCATGCAGCTTTTTTCAGACTGGCTGCTTTTGCTTGGCAACGTGCCTGTCAGATTCATGCATCTCTTGTTGTGGCTTGATAGCTCGTTCTTTATTCCACTGTGCGGATGTACCACCATATGTTTATCCATTCACCTACTGACGGCCATATTGATTACTTCTAGTTCTTGGCAGCTATGAGTAAAGCTATAAGCATCCATGTGCAGGTGTTTCATGGACACGTTTTCACATTAGCGGGGTACATATTTAGGAGTGAGACTGCTGGATTACATGGTAAGACTTTCCTTTTGTCTCTCCCGTTTTCAAACTCTGTACTGGCATATAAATTTCCTCAAATCTCTCCCATCTTTAATGGAAATAGGTCAAACCTTGAATTTTTAGCCACTCCCCAACTCCCTGGTGTCCCCATTCTTCTCAGAGAATCCCAACATCCCGCCTCCACCTCCTTGCTTCTTACTGCCTCTTCCACTCAGCCCACACTTGCAGAATGAGGACTGCGTCGACTACAAATTAGACCTCTGCTTCCACCAGGCCTCCTTGATAGTTCAGCTAAGAGCCGTGCGGTGAGTCTCCTGACGTTTTATGGCACTTGACGCTGGTAACCACTCCCTTCCCGAGGACGGAGACCGCGGCCCTGCCAGTATCGCTCACGCTTTACCTCTTCCCAAGTGTTTTTATCTCCTTACCTTGGCCTTGGGCTGCTTCTGTGACTCACCTGTATTTGAATCTCAGCCAGTCTTCCTTACCAAACTTCAGATCTGTATCCAAGTGCCTATTAGACATCATCCCCTGGCTGTCCCCTTTGCACCTCAAACACATGTCCCGAACTTTAACTCACTTCTTCCCTTTCAAGCTCTCCTGCTAAACTCTCTGATTTGGGGGAAAGCATCATCTATTCAGTCATCTAACTCAGAAACCCAAGAATCACCCTCGATTCCTCACTTTCCCTTCTATCTAGATCCAGTCTGTAGTTGAGGACCGCCGGTTCTGTTTCTTTTCCATCTTTCATGGTAATACAGTGGAGCTCCTTCATTTCTGACCCCTTATCTCCTGGGAGTAGGCCCATGGGCTCCCGCTGGTCTCCCTGCTTTAACCGTGCACCCCTCTCATCTTCCAAGGCAATGCCTCAGCTGTTCAAGCCACTCCCGTATACACAATCCTTACCGCGTCTAGACTCCTGCTTGGAAGCCGGGGCGTTCTCACTGCCCTCGCTGCGCCGCGCCTTCCCTTAGGTTCCTGTGGTGGGAGTGTTGGCAGTGACTTCTGCTCACGCTCTCCCTGCTGCCTGGAGAATTGCCCCTTCCCTCATTCCCCTTCCAACACGTATCCTGGGCCTGCTGAGTTGCTACTCATGCGAGGTTTATTGGCACCACAGCCCCATAATTGAGAAACAACAGTCCCCAGCTGCACACCTCCCCCGCGGGAACTACTTTTAACTTTTTAGCTGGCCTGCTGCTGGTCTCTGCCTCCATACTTCTAAATACATCCTCATGAGGCTCCTTCCCTCTCTTCCTAAGCAGATGTCTCGGAAGAAGAGGCTGTACTTACTTTCCACCTCCCTCATCTCCATTCAGTCTTTAACTCGCTACAACTGAAGGAGTAAACCCAGAAAAAGATGGCATTGACTCGGGGAAATAGGGAACCCAAAGTAGGAGAGACGAAAGCAGTTCCCAAGGTCATCATGAAAGAAGTCTTGGTCCATAGCCATACAGGGGCCTGGAGAACTCGTGGTCCATCCGGGAGCGGGAAGATGAGGGGCTTTCCAAAGTTGTAAAATAATGGTAATTAACCATGATATACAACTGACTCAGCTGAGATGAATACACAAAATGCCATATCATATAAATACTGATTACAGGTTTGTTTTTTAATGTTGCCCTGGGCCCAGCTTGAAAGAATGAATGGGGCGGGGGGGGGGGGGGGGGGCGGCGGGCAACGGTGCGGGGGGTGGGGGCATGGGAAAGCTAAACTTTGTTTCTTTTTTTTTTTTTTTCTTTTTTTTGAGACGGACTCTCGCTCTGTCTCCCACGCTGGAGTGCAGTGGCGCGATCTTGGCTGACTACAACCTCTGCTTCCCGGGTTCACGCCATTCTCCTGCCTCAGTCTCTTGAGTAGCTGGGACTACAAGGCGTGCGCCATCACGTTCGGCTAATTTTTGTATTTTTAGAGACGGGGTTTCTCCAGGCTGGTCCCGAATTCCTGATCTCAGGTAATCCACCCACCTCAGCCTCCCAGAGTGCTGGGATTACAGGCGTGAGCCACCATGCCCAGCCCACTCTTCTGTTTTCTAGGAAGTCAGTGGATTGTCAAACGTTCTTTTGGTCTCTCCTGTGCTGGAGCGTTGCGCTGGATCCTGCGTCTTAATCTTCTTGATTTCCTCTCTATTTTTGGTGGAGCTTATCTTGAAGTAGTTTCCTAAGAAAAGATACAGGAGAGATACAGTTTGTTAGGCCATGCATGTCTGAAAAATCTTAATTCTGCATTTTTCTTTTTCTATTTTTCTTTTGAGACAGGGTCTCCGTTGCCCAGGCTGGAGTGCAGTGGCGCGGTCATAGTTCACTGCAACCTTGAACTCAGGAGCTGAAGCGATCCTCCCACCTCAGCCTCTAGAGTAGCTGGGACCACAGGCACTCACCACCACCCACAAAAATCATAATTCTGTCATGCTGAATTGCTAGTTTGACTAAACGTGGACTTCTTGATTAAAACCCATTTTCCCTCAGAATTTTGAGGGCATTGCTACATTCTCATTTTCTTGTTTTGCGGTTGGTAAAGTCAGTGTCCTCCTTGCTGACCTGTTTTTCTTCTCTCTGGAAGGTTCTGGAACCACTGTCTGGAAGTTTCACGACTATGCCGTGGACCTCTTCTCGTTCAGCATGGTGGGCATTGGGGATGAACCCTCTTTTTTTTTTTTGGAGACAGAACCTCGCTCTGTTGCTCAGGCTGGAGTGCAGTGGTGTGATCTCGGCTCACTGCAACCTCCACCTCCCAGGTTCAAGCGATTCTCCTGCCTCGGCCTCCCGAGTAGCTGGGATTACTGGCATGCACATCATGCCTGGCAAATTTTTGTATTTTTAGTAAAGACAGGGTTTCACTATGTTAGCTAGGCTGGTCTTGAACTTCTGACCTCAAGTGAACCGCCCACCTCGGCCTCCCAAAGTGCTGGGATTACAGGCATGAGCCACCGTGCCTGGCCAGGGGATGATCTCTTTCTAGAAATTCATATCCTTCAATTCTGGAAATGTTTCTCATGATAGTTCTTTGATAACTGACCCTCCTTCCTTCACTGTATTTCTCTTTCTGGGACTTTTACTAGTCAGTGTATTTCTGGGTTGGTCTCTCTCTTTTCTCTTTTATTGGCAACCCTGATCTAAGGAACTAAGGTATAGAGGTGGTTGAGTCCTGACCAGAGCCGTGAGGGTCTAGATTTATGTAAATGATGGAGCCATACACGTTACTTTATTTATAGCAAGATATTGTAAAGATTTTGAAATGTCATTTATATGAAATGTCAAGATTATTAAATTCGTAGTTCACTGTAACCTCAAACTCCTGGGCTCAAGCAATCCTCCCACCTCAGCCTCCAAAGTAGCTGGGACTACAGGCACATCCCACCATGCCCAGCTAATTTTTGTATTTTTTGTAGAGACGGGGTTTCACCATGTTGCCTAGCCTTGTCTCGAACTCCTGGACTCAAGCAATCCTCCTGCCTTGACCTCCCAAAGTGTGGGGATTACAGGCACTGAGCCACTGCACCTGGTCAATGCATTTTTAAATATGGTCTAAGGGTATCAGCAAGTTGCAGATTTGATAACAGCTGGGTCTTTTCATTTAGTAACCACCCTTTTTTCCTCCTCTGTACTCTCACACAATATTAAAATACCTCCTATTAAATCTCTATTATCCTCTTCTCTTCCTGTTGCATTTTTCTCCCACAACTTAAGGCTCAAGTCTAAGCAGTGAAAACATAAGGTTTCCGATAAGCTAAGACAGTGTCTATCCATGGACGGGTTCGTGACAAACCCCTGTGGGTCCCTGGCTTGCTGAAACCAGGTTTCACATGAGGGGAGGAAGTGGCTTGACAAGAAGGGGGTTGCTAAGGGAACTTTATTACTCATTTCTCTTGGAAAAAAGCAGAAGGAATAAATGGAATAAAAGTCTGATAATTTGGCAGACATGCTTTGCAGTTACTTGCAGTACTGTGCTTAGGTTCAGAATAAGGAACTAAGTAACAATAATTGACGCTGAATCTCTTCAGAAGTAAGCTGATGGTGACTCAATAAACTCTCCCAGATGACCGCTGTATACACAGGTATTTTATGAGGGTGCAACTGGATTAAGTCATTCTGAACTGAATTTTGCATAATTATTACCAAAATTTGGATTGAAAAGTAAGTTTACAGTTGGCATTCCTATTTAATTTTAGTTTTTGTCAAAATAATATCTGTACATAATTATAAAATCAACTAAGTCTTCAAATACTCATAAATCAGAACAGCACTCTGCCTCCACCAGTCCCATTCTCCAAAGGAAAACACATTCAGTTCTTGTTTTTTTTTCTTGTTGTTGTTTTGGTTTTTGCATTTTTCTTTTTTCTTTTTTTTTTTTGAGACAGAGTTTTGCTCTTGTCGCGCAGGCTTGAATTCCTGGGCTCAAGCGACCCTCCACCCTTGGCCTCCCAAAGTGCAAGGGATTACAGGTGTGAGCCACCATACCAGCCTTCAAGGGCAGTTCTGATGCCTAACACCTGCTGATCCAGCTCAACAATATTGGATCACTTGAGGTCAGGAGTTCGAGACCAGCCTGGCCAACAGGGTGAAACACTCTCTCTACTAAAAACACAAAAATTATCCTGGCATGGTGGCGTGTGCCTGTAAGCCCAGCTATTTGGGAGGCTGAGACAGGAGAATCACTTGAACCCAGGAGGCAGAGGCTGCAGTGAGCCGAGATTGTGCCGCTGCACTCTAGCCTGGGTGACAGAGTCAAACTCTGTCTCAAAAAAAAAAAAAAAAGTCTCCGATGCCCTCTGGCCTTCATGGTGGACATTGGCATGTAAAGCTCACAAACACCTTCTCCCTTGCAAGGAGGATGATACAGAATCTTCACATTCTTCTGCATGGCACCAATTGTGCTATTTTAACAACAATGACTGTGCAGAAATGAAGCCAGTGCTTTTTTCCTCCAAGCCTTTGGACAAAGCATGTTTTATGACAAAAATAATCCCTCCGGCTCACATGTCCTCTCAGGCTTCCCACTGCTCTCCCACACAGCCTCTCGCTCCGAGAAGTGAGTCCCCTCCCGCTAATGCCAATCCTTCGGGCACACCCAGAACTTGTTTCCAGAGACTGAAATAACATTTCCAACGGGGTGGTGCCACCGGATTTGCTGAGCTGTTTAGTGGCCCATAGTGAGCTGATTTGTGTTGGGTAGATTATCTTCCCTGGGCGTGACGGGAAGGAGAGACTCAAGGCAGAACTTCTTTTTGAAACAAATGAATTTGGAAATATTAGGCAAGGAGGAAATAGTGATATAACTTGTTTTTTCCAGTATTGAAAGATGCCACCTCTGTACTTAACCACAGAGTAAGAAATATTCAGGAAAGTATATATTTTTATAGCATTGAAGTTAACCATTGAAGAGGGATTTATTAAGAGCTTACTATTAGGCAGTATGAGAATTTGTTTAAAGTATTAGATACCCCAAAATCCTATTCAAAAAGACACAAATATGATTCTAAAATATGTAAACAACAATGCTAGTAAACAAATGAAGGTATAATATAATTTGGCCCAAGAAACCCCCACGTTCAGAGCTTAGAGAAAATATATTACTTTTTTCCCCCTTTCTGGCTTTTACAGCCTTACTAAAACAAAAACAATTCTGGTGACTGAAGATTCAAAAAACAAAACAAAACAAAACAAAAAACCAGCCGGGTGCGGTGGCTCACGCCTGTAATCCCAGCACTTTGGGAGGCCGAGGCGGGCAGATCACAAGGTCAGGAGATCGAGACCATCCTGGCTAACATGGTGAAACCCTGTCTCTACTAAAAATTAAAAAAAATCAGCTGGGTGTGGCGGCACGCGCCTGTAGTCCCAGCTACTCGGGAGGGCGAGACAGGAGAATCGCTTGAACCCAGGAGGCGGAGGTTGCAGTGAGCCAAGATCGCGCGGCTGCACTCCAGCTTGGGCGACAGAGCGAGACTCGGTCTCAAAAAAAAAAGAAAAAAAAGAAAAAAATTGTAATTCCAAAGCGTGAACCCTTCACTGAAGCCACTGAACACTCTCATCCACGCCAAAACTTCAAAAGTTAACACTGGCTTGCACAGTTTGACTGATCCTGGAGCGGCAGAGTGACTCACCGTCTGCAGCCAGGCCTGGACGGCACTGCTGGTCCTAAGTCCCTCAGCGTTCAGGTCTCAGTCTACCCAGCCAGAGACGACCGCTGCGCGTCCTCCGTCAGATGGCAAAGCCACGACTTTGTGCCGACCTACAGAACGCCAGTTAATCTTGGGAATCTGAAATGATTCATTTTATTTAGCAAAGTGTTTTCAATTCCTTCAAGATTGGTGCTTGTCTAAACCATTTGCTCTGAGTGAGTTGTAAGGAATCAGGCACGAAGCACCTTAAATACCCCAGGCTCAGGGTGTTTTGAACAGGCCTTGCAGGCCGGCAGAGGCCGTCTCCTCCTACCCAGAGAGCAGCGCTGTGGACCTTGCTGAGCTGGTGACCTGTCATCTCCAGCCCTTCTCCGGGAAACCCCTTCTATAGGAAACAAATTTCTCACTTCCCCAGCACCTAAGTGCCATCATTCTGTCCGGTGAGATGAAAGTGGAAATATCTCCATCTTCTGGGGAAAGCTTTCATTTTCTTGGTGAAAGGAAAAACACAGCTGCTGCGACTCCTGTGTCCCTGGTTTCAACCTTGAACTGGGGCCCGGTGCCTGGAGATGCAGGGGAGGGCTCAGACCGTGAGCAACTCCAGCCCACTGCAGTGGGTGGACTAGAACATTATCCAGCCTCTGCACCAGTCCTGGACTGCTCACCCTGACTTCTACAAGAAAAAGAAATCCCTTTTTGTTAAGTCACAGTAAGTTGGGGTTTCTGTTACTTAACAGATGTACACTTGCAGGGTACAGTGGCTCACGCCTGTAATCCCAGCACTTTGGAAGGCCGAGGCAGGCAAATCACTTGAGGTCAGGAGTTCGAGACCAGCCTGGCCAATACGGAGAAACCCCGTCTCTACTAAAAATATAAAATTAGCCAGGTATGGTGGTGCATGCCTGTAATCCCAGCTACTCGGGAGGCTGAGGCAGGAGAATCGCTTGAACCCAGGAGGCAGAGGTTGCGGTGATCCAAGATCGCACCATTGCACTCTAGCCTGGGCAATAGGAGCGAAACTCCATCTCAAAAACAAACAAAAAACAGACCTATACCTAACGGATAGGGAATTTGGTATCTGAGAGCCAGTGGCTCCAGGGGACAGACACTAATGTACGGCGTTGGCTAAGAGGAGGTCCAGTGGTGGGGCGGGGACCCAACTCCTTCAGCCTGGAAAATCAGGGTCCTGCTTGATGGTGAATGATCAGTTGCATGCTCACCTGTTGTGAGACCTAGAGACTAAAGCTGTAGCGTAAAACAGTGGTTCCCAAACCTTTCTGGCACCAGGGACCAATTTTGTAGAAGACAGTTTTCCACGTACCAGGGTTGAGGGACGGTCTGGGGATGATTCAGGAGCATTACATTTATTGTGCACTTTATTTCTATTATTGATACATTGTAATATGCAATGACATAATTAAACAACTCACCATAATGTAGAATCAGTGGCAGCCCTAAGCCTGTTTTCCTGCAACTAGGGCCAGCCTCCAGGAGACAGAAGAGGAGGTGGGCAGGTCACCAGGGCCAGCCTCCAGGAGACAGAAGAGGAGGTGGGCAGGTCACAAGGGCCAGCCTCCAGGAGACAGAAGAGGAGGTGGGCAGGTCACCAGGGCCAGCCTCCAGGAGACAGAAGAGGAGGTGGGCAGGTCACAAGGGCCAGCCTCTGGGAAACAGAAGAGGAGGTGGGCAGGTCACCAGGGCCAGCCTCCAGGAGACAGAAGAGGAGGTGGGCAGGTCACCAGGGCCAGTCTCTGGGAGAGGGAAGGTGTTAGGTTGGATGATGTGTGGAGAGAAGGCCTTTGCTATGGCTGCTTGAGCATGGGACCAAACAGAATAGACCAGGAATTTACAGCTAGATGTGTAAGGTAATTACATTGTCCAAGAAACCAAAGGGTGCAGTGGTTCACTCCTGTAATCCCAGCACCTTGGGAGACCAAGGTGGGAGAATCACTTGAGCCCAGGAGTTTGAAACCAGCCTGGGCAACACGGTGAGAGCCCATCTCTAAAAAAAATAAAATTAACTGGGTGCAGTGGCACATGCCTGCTGTGGTCCCGGCTATGCAGGAGGCTGAGGTGGGAGGATCACCTGAGCCCCAGAGGTCGAGGCTGTAGTGAGCTATGATTGCACTGCTGCACGCCAGCCTGGCCAACAGAGTGAAACCCTATCTCAAAAACAGCAACAAAGAACAAAGCAGCCCTCAGGCTGGCTAGCAGTAGCCCCTGTCTGTTCAGGCCGTGAAGCCATCTGCAGCCCCTGAACCCATACTCAAGAACTGAACTGCAAAACCCTATGTTCTCCATCAGGGGTGTCCCGCCCAGGGCCCTGCTTGGATGAGGTCTTGGAGGACCCTCCCAGAGACCAGAGAAGTCAGTGGGAAGGTCTGATACGAGGTGCCAGGCTGGCTCACTGGGGAGCTTGCTGTATCGCCAGGGCAGGGAGACCTCACTGCTCCTTCCAGCGGGATCTTGCGTGTGACTCGTTTTGTCTTCCCATCCTCTGAGTTTCTGAAGGGGGATTGTATTGCAATGGTCTGTTTCCTCTTCCACCATTCCTTACTGCATGTGTTGATGATGGACTACAAGTCTTTGGGCTATAGCTGGTGGGATCATGAGGAGCTCCCTCTGGACCCCAGGCGGACGCCTGCACCTCATCTGGATATGCAGGACTCGGGAAGGTGGATGCCATGGCTCAGGTGGTCTTGAGGGTGGCCCTCCAAGCCTTTGGCGGGGGCAGTGTGTTCTCTAGAAAGAGGTGCACTGGGGCTGACCTGGGAAAAGACCAACCCGATTCACATTCCCAAACCCTTTCTTGTATTTAACTTTTCAGAAACGTTCCATCTGCTCTCTCTCAGCACCACTTTGCAGCTAATCAAGAAGACGCAAGCAGACATCCACTGGGGGTGGGGAGGAGTTCCGAGAGTGCTGAGCCTTCCGGATTAAAGGGACATACGCTGCTGCCCGAATCCCAAATGCAGCGTGATGCCACTACCGCAGCCCAGCTGCAGCCTTGAGGAAGAGGGTGCAGGAGCTACAGAGGCTGTCCTTGACATGATTCAGCCTTCAAAGCAGGATTAACTGCTGCTGCCTCCAGACCTTCCTGTTTTGTGAGAAAAACAAATCCCAATGTGTTTAAGCCTCCATGAGTCAGGTTCTCATTTACATGTAGCCGAAAGCATTTCTGAAGGGTGCAAACACACTCGAAAGATAAGATTCTACCCCATCAGCAAAAACCATTAGGTGAAGTTGATGAACATTTTTCAGTCAACACTGGTTTCATGTTAACAGCTTAGTGATCTTCCCAGGGGGTGAGATTTGGGGTGCACTGAGGAGGCCTCCCTACCTAAAATAATTCCAGCAGTCCTGTTATTGATGCCTGAACTTCTACATGCAGAGCCACACGCAATCTGCGTGGTATGCACACACATGCACACACAGCTGTTAGGAGGGGCCTGAACAACCAGGAGTGTAGACGGCAGCGCAGGAGCTTGGGACAGAAAGCCAGGCTGTGGTTTCATGCATTGCAGATCCTATATCCCAGAAGCCATTTCTTTTTCTTTTTCTTTTTCTCTTTCTTGTTTTGTTTTGTTTTTTGAGACAGAGTCTTGTTCTGTCACCCAGGCTGGAGTGTAATGGCGCGATCTCGGCTCACTGCAACCTTCACCTCCCTGGTTCAAGTGACTCTCCAGCCTCAGCCTCCCGAGTAGCTGGGATTACAGGTGTGTGCCACCATACCTGGCTAATTTTTGTATTTTTAGGAGAGACAGTATTTCGCCATGTTGGCCAGGCTGGTCTCGAACTCCTGACCTCAGACGATCTGCCCGCCTCGGCCCCCCAAAGTGCTGGAACTATAGGCGTGCGCCACCACGCCTGGCCAGCCAAATCTATTTGTAACAGATTTCACTTTCAGAAAATTTCTCCATGTAATCCAAATCTTTCATTTTCTAGTACAGACCTCTTTCCCCTTAGCACTCTGTTCTTGATGACTTAGAAGTGTCGTTTCTCTTCACATCATTTGCACGTCATTCCTTCCTGTCTCCAGCTTCTTCTTCCCAGCCCTCCTCCTCCTCTGCACACAGGAAACCTCATTCTGTGGTGTGAACAGGGGGATTCCCGTCTTCCTGAAGCGACTTAGTCTTGAGCTGCCTGTGCCCTTCCCATCACAGTGAATGTTGCCAGTTGGGGATGACTGGGCAGCCATGGGGAAGGTGAGCAGAGGGCAGAGGAGTCCAAGCCCCTGAGGTGGAGGTGGGAGCAGGGAGAGCTGCAGGCTCAGCTGCTGGGGCAGTAGGAGGAGAGCCAGGACCTGGAGGAGTGTGTGTGTGTGTGTGTGTGTGTGTGTGTGTGTGTGTCTGTGTGATTGTGAGTGTGTGTGTGTGGTGCGGTCAGTGGGGAGCGGGGGAGTCTTTTATCTTTACCACTTGTTTGTCTGATTAACCTACTTTTCTTGGTTTCTAGGGAAAGAGCAAAAAAATTTTTTCTTTCTCTGAGACAGGGAGTAAAGCACGTGGCATCAAGACTGCAGCAGAAGGCCAGGCGCAGTGGCTCACACCTGTAAACCCAGCACTTTGGGAGGCTGAGGGTGGGGGTGGATCACCTGAGGTCAGGAGTTCGAGACCAGCCTGGCCAACATGGGGAAACCTCATCTCTACTAAAAATACCAAATTAGCCAGGTGTGGTGGCACGTGCCTGTAATCCCAGCTACTCGGGAGGCTGAGGCAGAAGAATCACTTGAACCTGGGAGGCGGAGGTTGCAGTGAGCCGAGATCATGCCACTGCACTCCGGCCTGAGCAACGAGTGAAACTCCATCTCAAAAAAAAAAAAAAAAAGAAAGAAAGAAAGAAAAAGAAAAAAAAAAAGACTGCAACAGAAGCGCAGGGCACCCTGGGATGCCTGCAGCCTCTCACCTTCAACCTCTGTGCTGGGATCCATCAATTCCCTTCCCATTTGACTGTCAAATCAGAAGGGTCTTTGCTAATTTCAGCATAAATTGGGAGAAAGCTGACCTCGATTTAGCTGGAATGACAGCAATGACTAATTTGTACACCAGAATTAATAAAGCTAGCTCTTGCCCCACAGGGAGAGAAAGATGATGTGGTTTTCTTGCATCTGCCCTAACTGAGATTGCTTTTTGGCAAGGATAGAGAAATGCTCATTCTCCACACTCCCAGGAGGGGGTCTGCTGACAGCTCCTGGACTGTCACCTGAATTGAGGTGTGACTGGGCCAGGGGTGTCCCAAGCCAACCAGCCAGGCACCTGGACGGGTGGGCTCTTGACCCCCTGAGACCACCATGGTCTTCGAAGGAGAGTCAGCAGGTCTGGAAGCAAGCGTGCTGGGGACCCCTTCCCCGTGGGGGGCCAGGAGCTCCTGTTATAAGAGCTCCAACAGGCCTCCGTATTTTCTGTCCCTTTTACAGGCAAGAATTCAATTCTGGGTCCTGAGCAGGGGTTGTCCCGGTCAATAAGCAACTTCAGTTCCTTGGGACAGGACCCCAGACTTGCTGGTAATGACATCGTTGTTTCTTTACCGGATAAGTCTCTCTTAACCCTGGAAAAGTCTGTTTACACAGAGGAGTGTGAAACCAACTCATACTTTTGATATTTTGGGGTTACGTTTAGGCAATCTTTACATATTTGATATTTTAAGAAGTTGCTGTTTTAAGAGGATGTGGCATATTTTAACTTGTAATTTTAAATGCAATGAATGGACTGGCCTCTTGATTCCAATTCAAAATATGTGATTGGGTAATTGATATAGATTTGTGATTTAAACTCAGATATTCAACGCCAATTTATTAAGATTGTAGGCAGTATGGGAACATTTAAAAAAACCAGAGATTCGCCAGAGTTAGTTGTTAAGCACTTGAGAATGCTTGTGAATAAATTAAAGTATTTAAAAGTATAAAGTATTAATATTATAAATGCAGTTTAAAAATTTTAAGGCAGCAAGTGCGTTGGCTCATGCCTCTAATCCTAGCACTTTGGGAGGCTGAGGCGGGCGGATTGCCTGAGCTCAGGAGTTTGAGACCAGCCCGGGCAACCTGGTGAACCCCTGTCTTCACTAAAATAAAAAAATTAGCCAGGCATGGCGGTGTGCGCCTGCCCATAGTCTCAGCTACTCAGAAGGCTGAGACAGGAAAATCGCTTGGACCCAGGAGTGGAGGTTGCAGTGAGCAGAGATCACGCCACTGCATTCCAGCCTGGGTGACAGAGCAAGACTCTGTCTCCAAAAGAAAAAATTTCAAGGACATTTAAATAAATAAATTTCTGAATGGGAACAGTCATCAAAGTTTTCCTTAACAATGACTGTTCGATGTTTTCTGTATTATAAAATAAAGTTATACATGGATGGAGCTGGAGGCCATTATCCTAAGCGAACCAACACAGGAACAGAAAACCAGATACCGCATGTTCTTGCTTATCAGTGGGAGCTAAACACTGAGGACACAAGGACACAAAGGAGGGAACAACAGATACCGGGGCCTCCTTGAGGGTGGAGGGTGGGAGGAGGGTGAGGACCAAAAAGCTATCTGTCAGCCGGGCGCGGCGGCTCACACCTGCAATCCCAGCACTTTGGGAGGCTAAGGAGGGCAGACCGCTTGAGTTCAGGAGTTTGAGACCAGCCTGGGCAACATGGCGAAACCCCATCTCTACAAAAACTTAACATTAGCCAGATGTGATGCTGCATGCCCTTGGTCCCAGCTATTAGGGAGGCTGAGGTGGGAGGATTGCCTGAGGTAGAGGCTGCAGTGAGCCATGATCATGCCACTGCACTCCAGCCTGGGTGACCGAGCAAGACCCTGCCTCAAATTTAAAAAAAATAATAAAAAAGAAGGCTACCTGTTGGGTACTATGCTTATAATTTAGGTAACAAAATAATCTGTACGCCAAACCCCTGTGACATACAATTTACCCATATAACAGATCTGTACATGTATCCCTGAACCTAAAATAAAAGTTAAAAATAAATAAATGTAGGACTGCAAAAGGCTTATTGCAAAAAAAGTTAAAGTTAAGAATAAATAAATAGGCTGGGTGCAGGCCGGGCGTGGTGGTTCACGCCTATAATCCCAGCACTTTGGGAGGCTGAGGCAGGCAGATCACCTGAGGTCAGGAGTTTGAGACCAGCCTAGCCAACATGGTGAAACCCCGTCTCTACTAAAAATACAAACATTAGCCGGGTGTGGTGGCACATGCCTGTAATCCCAGCTACTCGGGAGGCAGAGGCAGGAGAATCGCTTGAACCTGGTGGAGGTTGCAGTGAGCCAAGATTGCGCCAATTCACTCCAGCCTGAGCTGGAGAAAAATCTATTTTGTTAAGCAGGAGAATCCTATTTTGTTAAGCAGGAGAATCGCTTAAACCTGGGAGGCGGAGGTTGCAGTGAGCTGAGATTGTGCCACTGCTCTCCAGCCTGGGTGACAGAGCGAGACTGTCTCAAAAAAAAAAAAAAAAGGGCATTTGCTCCTCACATTTGGCCACTGATGAACACTGTCTGCATGTTACAGGTGAGGAAACAGGTGGAGGAAGGGAGTGCCCGGAGCAGAGGCCCCGCCCCGCCCCCACGGCCTGGCTCTCCCGCCTGGTTTAGTTTGGCCTCTAAAGCGTCCTCATTACAAGCAAAGTGCAGCCCCACCACAGAGAATCCCGTTTCTCTCTGGGAGTGCTTATGTGATTAATTTGAAGTCACCATGACTCTGATTTCCTCTGCAGAATTCAGCAGCGTATTCCAGGATTCCAGGAGCGCAATGCAGTAGAAAGCAACCACTTGGCCCAGGAGACTGAGACTAATTTCTGGGAAAGAGGCAGCCAGGCTCCTCGGCCTTATGCAGGTCATGAAGACTCAGTACATTGAAATTGAAGGTCCTCAGTTCCCAGCTAAGCGAGCCTCCAAGGACTGTGACGTCCCAACCTTCGGATGAGGATGGAGGCGGGAGGAGACACAGCGCCGGCCAGGAGACCTGGTGTTGGGGCTCTGCCCCTGGTCTGGCTGAGCAATCCGGGCAAGTCACTACCCTGGCCGAGGCCAGCTTTGTCGGCAGAGAAATGGGTGAATGCTGCCTCCGCTTGAATCCAGAGTTTGTCAGGATGCTATGGAAAAAATTATATGAAGGTTCTTTGCAACATTAAAAAAAATAATAAAATAAAATAAACCTGTTGCATATTTGCCAGGGGCTGGGCTTTCTGAGAGTGGACAGGGAACAGCTGAGCGTGCTTGACGGCTCTGGGGTCCTCAGGGCCTCCGTCTCCCCTGTGACACTGTCCTGGGCTCAGCGGGCTGTGGAGGCCCCAAGTGACGCTGTGAACAGCTGGCAAGAGCCTTTCCCGGACTCTACAGCCTCCCTGTGGCCCCTCGTTCCTTATGAAGGAAGGGATGGCTGCCCGACCTGTGGGTCCTGGGCACTGTCCTGCTCCCCTGGTTGTGGAGTTGCCAGGACGGCGGGACAATCAACACAACGCTCTTCTTCTTCTGTCGGGGACATCACCACAGAGAAGAAAAGAGCCTCTCCCTAGAGAGAAATCCTGATGTCTGAAACTTCAGCTGAATGGAGGAGAAAGGATAATTCATCACCTTTCCCCAGAGCCAGGGCAGCACGTAGGAGCTGCGTTTTGAGGGGAGGATGACAGAAAGAGTGCACACAGCACACCAGCTGTGCTAGGGCTGGGCCAGGCCAACCGTGGGCCCTTGGGGAGCCCATGCCCCCCACCAGCAGCCTGCTGCCAGGTTCCTGGGCCCGTGTGTGCGCCTCCTCCCAGGTGTTCAGCTCGGCTCTGACCTAGGAGCTGCCAGGAAGGGCTGTGCAGATGGAATTAAGGTCCCCATGAGTTGACTGTAAGATGGGAGATTGCTGGGGGCCGGAGTCCTTTAAGGCAGAGAGCTTTCTCCTGCAGGACCCAGAAGAAGACATCAGTGTTCAAAGCACGAGAAAGATCCAACCTGCCCTTGCCCCTGCGGAAGGAGGAGCCACGTGGCATGGAACGAGGGTGGCCTCTAGGAGTGACCCCGCTGACAGCCAGCGAGGAAATGGGGACCCTATTCCCACTCCACAGGAACTGAATTGTGCCCACAAGGAGGAGCTGGGAAGTGGAGTTTTCTCCAGAGGTTCCTGATGAGAACTCAGCTAGTCAGCACCTTGATCTCCGCTGGGCGAGGTCTGTGCAGAGCCACAGGCAGGCAGTGTGACTTCTAACCTTCAGAATCGGGAGCTAATGAAGGGGTGGGGCTTAAACCACAAAATTTCTGTGTGTGTGTGTGTGTGTTTTTTTGTTTTTTTAAAAAAAGAACACTACATAGCAATAGAAAGTAAACGAACATCCCCTGCATTAAATTGCACATGTATTGAAGTTCAGTAGATGTAAATTAGCACAGCTGTCTCTTCTTTCCTGAAAGCATTTTTTTTGTTTTGTTTTGTTTTAGAAACACAGTCTCACTCTGTTGCGCAGGCTGGAGTGCAGTGGTGCGATCTCAGCTCACGGCAACCTCCACCTCCCTGGTTCAAATGATTCTCCTGCCTCAGCCTCCTGAGTAGCTGGGACTACAGGCGTGTACCACCATGCCCGGCTAATTTTTGTATTTTTAGTAGAGATGGGGTTCCACCGTGTTAGCCAGGATGGTCTCGATCTCCTGACCTCTGGTGATCTGCCTGCCTTGGCCTCCCAAAGTGCTGGGATTACAGACATGAGCCACCATGCCGGCCCTGAAAGCATTTATTTTGAAACAATTTCAAACTGAAAAACACCTCTATCCTCTTCTCCCACACTGACCAATTGTTCCTCACCAGTTGTCTATGTATTTGCTAAATCATTCTGTGTGTGTGTATCATGTGCGAGTGCGTATTTTTTTTCTGAGCCATCTGAGCCCATTTACCCCTACAAAGAAAGAAATTCATTTATATAAGCACATAAAAAATTCAACCCTGATGAAATGTCTATTCTATAGACCTAATGTGAAGTATGAATATGCCCACTTTACAGACGGACAAACTAAGGTGGAAAAGTTACATGCCTTACCCAAAGCCACACAAATGGTAAGTGGCAAAACCAGGTTCCACCTTGAAATCCTGGGCTCTTTTCCTTGTGTTCTGTCCGTTTCAATTGGGGTCCAGTCGGAACAAGATAAACTACTCTGGGTGTTTCGAAGAGCTGAGATTTAATATAGGAAGCCCTGTAACTGTAGGAAGCCAAAGCTATTCCTTTGGGGGACTCAGAGAGGGGAATGGTGTCACCCAACAGCCCAAGAATGTACTCAGCACCCCAGCTCTCAAAGCTTCAGGAAGGGAGAGACCCCCTCCACCTCCTGCTGAGCAGGAGCCCAGGAGCCGCCCCCTGCACCCCGGGCTGACCTGCCAGAGCCTGAAGTCACCAGCTTCCCGTCACTGCTCAAGCGAAGTGGGGGTCTGAATTCACAGCTTCGCCATCAGCTATTGGGGGACCCGCACGAGTCATTTAGCCTGCGAATGCCTCATTCCTCTGTAAAATGGGGCATCTGGTTTAGATGAGCTGTAAGTTTCATTCCAGTTCTGAAATGACTAATTCTTCCCTCATTGTGTTCTTTGACTTTGAACAACTCATGCCTCTGTTTTGCGCCTCCTCTTTTTCAGTAGCCTCTTTAGATCCGATAGCAGTCCAAGGGGAGGCAAGGGAGCCTGGGGTGGTGGAGGACACCCGCGATGACCAACCCGTGTGCTTGCCACGGCTGGCTTCTGCTCCAAAGGCACCCTCTCCTCTTCTCCACACCCCATCCCCTCTTCTTTCTCTCTTGCTCCTCATCTGAGCTCCTTTCCTAGGTTGGGGAATTCCCCACCTTACAGACTTATTTTAGTTAGTTATTCATAACTAGGTATGTCTTACCATGGAGGCAGCAGTAGCTGCTGAAACCATCAGATACTTCCCCAGCCTTCCCTGCAGCTAAGGGGGTGAGGTTGAGACCTCCACGGGGGGAGCCAGAAGCTCCTGCCCAGCCTCTTAAGGTAACTCAAGAGACAAAGGAGCAGGCTCAAGAGGCGGTGCCCCCATGCGGATCTAGCGTCCTGAGTTTGCCAGAGCCGCCCTCTGATGTGAATTTGGCCAGAGTTCTGGCAGCTTTGGCTAGTTCTCCTGACTTTCTCCCAAACCTGTGAGCTACTCGATACCCTCCAATAAATTCCTCTCTGATTTAATCACCCAGAGTTGGATCCCTAGCTTGCAGCCAAAACTCCTGACTGACACACATGTTATCTCATGCAATGCTCACAGCCACCCTAGGGGCAGGTGTTATTATTGTCTCCATTTTACAGATGAGGAAACTGAGGCACAGTGAGGCCAAGGAGCTTGCATATGAAGTCACGTAGCTGTGAGGGGCGGCAGCCCCCAGATTATGTCACCAATGCAGCCTAAGACGTGGCAGAAAATGCTTCAGGGATGAGGCCAGGTGTGGTGGCTCACACCTGTAATCCCAGCACTTCAGGAGGCCAAGGCAGGCAGATCACTTGAGCCTAGGAGTTCAAGACCAGCTTGGACAACATGGTGAAACCCCGTCTCTACCAAAAATACAAAAAATTAGCTGGGTGTGATGGCACATACCTGTGATCCCAGGTATCTGGGAAGCTGAGATGGGAGGACTGCTTGAGCCCGGGAGGTTGAGGCCGCAGTGAACGGTGATCACGCCACTGCATTCATTCCAGCCTGGGCCACAGTCCTGTCTCAAAAACAAACAAACAAACAAACAAAAAACAAGAAGAAGAAAATGCAGCAGTGACAAGAAACTCCTGGTCACTCAGCACAGGCTTTTCCTGAGGACAGAGATGTGTGGTGAGAGCTTGTGCAGCCCCTCCTGTAGAACGAGAGCTGCTCCATCTCAGCTTCCTCTAGAAAGGTGACGTTTCCTATAGATTTTTGTTTTAAGCTTGGAGCAGAGGACCATACTGTACAAACAGCAAATTAGGAAAATTAAACTTACTGTTTTAGTGGAAGAAAACTGATTTTTCTTTTCCTTTTTTTCGAAACGTGTCTCTCTCTGTTGCCCAGGCTGGAGTGCAATGGCGTGACCATGACTCACTGCAGCCTCAACCTCCCAGGTTCAAGCCATCCTCCCTCCTCAGCCTTCCCAGTGGCTGGGAGTCCAGGCGTGCACTGCCACCACACCCAGCTAATTTTTAAAATTTTCTTGTAGAGATGGAGTCTTGCTATATTGCCCAGGCTGTCTTGAACTCCTGGCCTCAAGTGATCCTCCTGCCTTGGCCTCCCAAAGTGCTGGAATTACAGGCATGAGCCACTGTACCTGGCCAATCTGAGAATGCATCCTCGTGGCTAAATGACTTATTATGACTTTATCCTTCGCTCAGCTTCCCTAAACGTCACATAACCACAGCACAATTATCAAAATGTGAGAATTAATAACTGGCTAATAATCAGTGAATAATAATTAACTTGCATTTCATCAACTGTCCTATGAATAGCCTTTTGGGGGTTCAGGATCAGTCCAGGGTGCGGCTGTTGGTCATCATGTCTCTTCAGTCTCCTTGAATGTGGAACGCTTCCTCCACCCGCTTTGTCTTTCGTGATTTGGACATTTCTGAGACGTCCTGGCTGGGTATTTTGTTGCACATCCCTTATTTTAGGTGTCTCATGTTGCCTTGCGATCAGATTCAGCGTATGCATTTTTGGCAGGAATACCACAGATGTGACTCGGTATCCTTTCCTATGAACCATGTCGGGAAGGACGTGACGTTGATTCCGCCCATTCCTGGTGAGGTCTGCCAGATTTCTCCCCTATAAAGTTACCATTTTCCCCTTTGTAATGGATAATTGTCTGGTGGGGAGATGCTTTGAATCTGTCCATATCCTGTTTCTCATGGTATTTTGCCCACTAATTTTAACACCCACTGATGATTCTTCCCTGAAACAAGTACATTGTGGCATTCACCAAATGGTGATTTTTCTAGTTCCATGATTCCTTCTACATGTATTGGTTGGAATTCTACTGTAAGGAAAAGCTTTCTCTCTTCCCTCATTCATTCATCTATTTATTTAAATCAGTATGGGCTCAAGATTCTTCTTTAATTCCATGGGTCACAATCCATCTACTACCATACTATCTTGTTCTTCAGACTGTCCCAGAAGAGCCCCTTCAGGTCAGCCCTGGTGTCTTTGGGACATGTCCCCATCGTTTTGGGGCACCACAGATGCTCCCAGCTCATGTTGTGCTTTCCCACCCTAACCCTCTAACCCTCTGAGATCTCCTGGTTCCTTTAATTGGAGGATGGTATTTAGAATACCAAGACCTGGGAGGTAGATGCACTCATTTACTTTCTTTTTTTCTTCTAGCTTGCTTGCTTGTTTGTTTGCTTGCTTGCTTTTTTGCTTCTTTTGAGACAGAGTCGTGCTCTGTCACCCAGGCTGGAGGGCAGTGGTACAATCTCGGCTCACTGTAATCTCCGCCTCCTGGGTTCAAGTGATTCTCATGCCTCAGCCTCCTGAGTAGCTGGGATTACAGACGTGTGCCACCATGCCCAGCTAATTTTTGTATTTTTAGAAGAGACAGGGTTTCACCATGTTGGCCAGGCTGGTCTCAAACTCCCGACCTCAGGTGATCCACCTGCCTCGACTTCCCAAAAGGCTGGGATTACAGGCGTGAGCCACCGCGCCCGGCCTCATTTACTTACTTGCAGTGTTCATAGTTCTCTCCGATGCTGTGAATCATGAATCCTTTCACAGTTACATGCATGTGCGTGCACACACACACGAATGGTCTGAGAGCCCATGCCCCAGCAGGTGGGGTTTCTCTTGTCCTGTCCTTCTCAGCTGTGGTGCCCACCCAGGCGCCCCCTCCTCCTCACTCTTCTTGGAGACCAGAGCTTCCTATTCACTACCCTGGGGCGGTTAAAGCAGCCCCTCTCTGCTCCCAGCTAAACAATAATGATGATAATGGCAATGATCATAATGATGATGATAATGGCAATGATCATAATGATGATGATAATGGTAATATAATAATGATGATGATAATGGTAATACTGATGATAATAACAATAGAAGCACCCATTTATTAAGCTCTCCTTGTGCTGCATGGACAAAACACAGGCTCAAAGACCGTTTTTCACACAGCATAGGAAGGGACCCAGCAGGGACTCAGACCCATCCCAGATCCCCCAGCCTTCTGGCAAACTCCAAGGAGATGGGGAGCTTGAGGAGGCGGATCCACACCACACGCGGGCCGTGGCGTGGGGACAGCCCGGTAGTGGGAACGGCTCTGGACACTCACGTCGGGGATGTGGCAGAGGCCTTGGGGTGGGCTCTGGACTCTCACATCGGAGATGTGGCAGAGGCCTCGGGTGGGCGTGCACAGGAAAGGCATTGGCCTCAAGTACTCCGTGGACCTGGCTGGCCCTGCCCGCCGCACTCCTTCACACAGGTTCTTTATTGCCATTGTCCCCGCCCGCATCAAAGGATCCCAGCATGCTTCCCACAGCCTGGAATTCCTTTGCTGGGAATGGGAGACAAAGCCATACTTTCTATCATCAGAGAGGAAAGGCCCAAAATGCAAACATGCAGCCAGAGAGAGGCTGTGGCAGGCAGGAGTTTCTGAGTAGGGAGTGTCAGATCCCCTCCTACTGAGTGCCACTTTCCCTTCTGAGACAGCATGGGAGCCGTCAGCCTACGAACTGGAGAGAACTCCAGGAAGGAGCCCTTTTCTTCCTGCAATGAGGGCAACCGGAAGCTGTGGCCACGGCACCTGCTGTCCCCGGAGCCTGGGCACCGACGTAAGGGAGGAAGGCGGCGCCTCCCTTTTCCCCTGCCCTGGCCACAGGAGCCTCAGGATTGACAGCTCATCTGCGGGTAGGTCTGCCCAGGGAGGGGTCGCTGCATAAGGGGTCTGTAGCCCCTGGGGCCCTGGGGTCCCTACCCTTGGTCACCTGCAGGCATAAGTCGCTCCTTTCCTCTTCAGCTCTGGGGTGTGGTCCAGAAGTAGTGGACTGAACTAAGCAGCACAATGGTCAGCATCACCTGGGACTCCGCCTAGAATGCTAGAAATGCGCATTCTTGCCCCCAATCCCCACAAGACTTACTCAGTTAGAAACTCGGGAAACAATCAGTGTGCCCAGCCCTCCAGGTGGGTGGTTCCGATATCTGTTCAGGTTTGAGAACCTTTGTGCTCAGGACCTCCGGTTACCAAATCATGCCACTTACGGTGACCATTCTCAAAAGATGGCAGAAGGAAGAAGGATGAGGAAGACTTGAGCCTGGCCGGGCAATCCTTGGTTTCCTCATGAACCCTTGCAATCGGGTTACATTTTGAACATCACTGGGACATGCTAAGAACTCCTCTGGAGCACAGCAGTGCTCACATCAATAGTCCAGCAGATTGAGCACGGAGATGTCAGCAGACACACTTGCAAGTTTGGTGAGTAATAATGAAAGTACTCAGTTCCGTGATTCATACTATAGTGTTGACAGGTCTGGGAATATAGTCTTAATTTAAAATTGCTTCGGATCTTTTCTCCAGGTCTGAAAACCAGAGGGACCGTGCCCACGATCCCCGCCGTTTCCCTGACCAGCACGGCTGTGGCGAGTTCGTTGTTCAATCCCGGATGGCTCAGCAAATCCAACCCCCTCCGCCCTGTTCTATCGCCGCATGGATCTGCAGAGGCAGCCGTTCCTGCCGGGTGGATTTGCCTTCCGCGAAGGACAACACAGAACCACTCTGAGTTATTTGACACTGACATCGATCCTAGTTGGCTGACTCTGGTTGGTGGTGAGAGGACAAATGTTCCCAGGGACTATTAAACAACCACAAAAATCTGAGAGGGCGGTTATCTGAACATGGAACAGAAACAAGACAGTAACGAGTTCCAATGTTCTTTTTTTTTTCTACACAGGATTCAAACGAACTCAGAGTAGCGAGATCAGAATACATGAATCTGACCTGTTTTTACTCACAACACCTCTGATACCAAGTGCGTGGGTTTTTTTCACACCGAAAACCAGTTCTCCCAACTCTCCAGACACCAACTGGGTGGCCTACGATTCCGTTCAAACGTGACACTAACTCCACAGGCTCCGAGGCTCAGTCCCTCAGGACTGCCCTGAGTTCAGACGCCAGCCTCCTGACTCCAGCCCAGGGTACCCACACTTCTGTCCAACTTGGCTACAAAGTTGGGGGTTTCCTACATTCCCCCCACCCTCCCTCCCAGTTTCACATTCAGTAATTTGCTAGAACAGCTCACAGAACTCAGGAAGGCACTTTACTGGTACTGGTTTATTATTAATATAAAGCATTGGACTCAGAACAGCCAGATGGAAAAGATGCTTAGGACGAGGTGAGGGGGGTGGAAGGCCAAGGGGCTTCCTCATCCTCTCCAGGCTGCCACCCCTCCCAACACACCTCCATGTGTTCACCAACCCAGAAATTCTCCACATTTTTTTTTTTGAGTCAGCGTCTTGCTCTGTCACCCAGGCTGGAGCGCAGTGGCACGGTCTCGGCTCACTGCAACCTCTGCTTCCTGGGTTCAAGCAATTCTCCTGCCTCAGCCTCCCGAGCAGCTGGGATGACAAGTGTCTGCCACATGTCTGGCTAATTTTTGTACCTTTAGTAGAGACGGGGTTTCACCATGTTGACCAGGCTGGTCTCAAACTCCTGACCTCCAGTGATCCACCCACCTCGGCCTCCCAGTGCTGGGATTACAGGTGTGAGCCACCCTGCCTGGCTCACATTCTGTCATTTGGGGCTCTTTTTTTTTTTTTTTTTGGATTCATTATGTAGGCATGATTGATTAATCACTGGCTGTTGGTGATTAACTTAATCTCCAGCCCCTCTCCCCTCCCCAAAGGTCAGAGGTCTGAGCTGAAAGTTCTGACTAATTCCAGCTCCCAGCCCCCATCCTGGAGCTGCCCAGTCCTCTCACTGACATTCAAAAAACACTCATCCCTCTGGAGATCCCAAGGGTTTTGGAAGCTCTGGACCAGAAAACAGGATCAAAGACCAAATATGCAGCCACGGCCCCATCCACCTCTGAGGGCATGTGCTCTGGCCTTACTATGACGGCGGCGGTGGCGAGTCTGATACAGGCGGGATGATGCACGCTTTATCTGGAACCCTTGGCCTTGGATAAAATTTGTCTTCTGTAGCAGTTACGTCCATGGAGCTAAGTCCAGGTCCACCTGCCATTGCAATTATGGCAGGGAAAAGGACAGAGGGAGCTGACGATTACACCTAACTTTGGATTTGGGGCACCCTTCTGTTCCCCCACTTCCTGCTTCGCTGACACTCACACCCCCAAAGGCGGTGGCGCAGAAGCTGAAATCAGGGCTCAGGACTCCATCTACAGCCAGGCCCACGAGCAGGGTCTGTTCTGAAGGCTCCACCAGCAGCTGTGTCCCAAGCCAACTGGCAAGACACCGTCCCACCCGACAGTGGCTTCCTCCCCGTGGCGTCATCTCCCTTCCAAAGAGGGAGGAATTTGGACTATTACCCACGAACGATAGCAGGCTAAGAAACAAATTATGATTACGAAAGATTAAAGAAAAAAAAAACCACCCACACCTACTGGCTGTACCTTTCCTGCATGATTTTTGCCACCGCATGGGAAGCGGGCCAATTGCTATTTGCCTGGGTGTTTTAAATATCAGGAGATCAGGAGATTTGCTCCTGACATAATTTTTTTTCGAAGTGCAACAGAAAATAGCACTTTTCACAACAATTAACTGTTAACTGGCTCCAAAGAAGGTCTGCTTGTTAGACATTAGGGAGGAATAGAAGGCATCTTCTCAGATGTTGGCCTTTGCGGAGGCAAGGTCAGTGGTGCCGGGAGGTGACTCCCTGCATTTCCGTATGTCCGTTTCTTAAGTCGCACTATTACTTCCCTTGAGTAAGGGACGTAATATTGAGTAATATTTATTGAGCTGTGTGTGAGAGACTGTTTCAGGCTCCGGGAAAACAGCGAACAAAATAAAAACAAATTGGCTGCTTTCATAGACCCCACACACTAATAAGCACATAGGGAGTCGGTCAGGCGGTGACCCGTGCGGTGGAGAGAAGGCAGCCGGCGGGACGTGGAAGGGTCGAGGTTAAACCGAGGTAGTGGGGAGGCCCCCAGTGAAAGACGCGAGTTTCCGGGGTGCTCCCTCTAGCCAGCAGTTAATTGCAATTCTGCCGGGCGCGGTGGCTCACGCCTGTAATCCCAGCACTTTGCGAGGCCGAGGTGGGCAGATCACTTTAAACCAGGAGTTCCCGACCAGCCTGGGCAACATGACAATACCCGTTTCTACAAAAACATTTAGAAAAATTATCTGGGCGTGGTGGCGCACGCCTGTAATCCCAGCTACTTGGGAGGCTGAAGCAGGAGTATGGGTTGAGCCTGGGGAGGTGGAGGCTGCAGTGAGCTATGATCGCACCGCTGCACTCCAGCCTGGGCGACAGAGTGAGATCCTGTCTCAAAACACACACACACACACACACACACCCCCCAAAACAACAAACAAAAAAAAAAAAGAGAAAGAAAAAATTACACAATTTCAGTTTGTTCAATTTGAGTCAGCTGGTGATTCGAGCGTGTCCCCTGTGCCCGTAGGACATAAAAGTAAAAATAAGATGGAATTCCCTCAGGTCTCGTCCTTCGGGAAGGATGGCTCGGAACAGCCCGAAAGAGAAAAGGGAGTTGGTTTCTTCCCGGACCAGTTTTCCCCTGTCCCGTGGAGTCCACAAGACAGGCGGCAGCTTCAAGGCCGGCAAGTTCCGCGTCTGGGGGGCTGCGGGCCGCCCCTGCGGGACCGGGGGGATCTGGGCGGGACAGGGCGGCCCGGCCCACGCCCCGGCTTCCCCCAGCAGCCCGAGGGCGCCCGGAGCTCACGGCTGGCGCCGCCCCGCGCTTCCTGCCTCGCCGCGGATCCTCCTCCGCGCCGTGACGCGCCAGGCTTTGACCAAATATGTCCCTTTCCCCTCCCTCGCCCGCCCCGCCGCCCGCAGGCGCCCCGAGTCGCGGGGCTGCCGCTTGGACGTCGTCCTGTCTGGGTGTCGCGGGCCGGCCCCGCGGGGAGCGCCCCCGGCGCGATGCCCTTCAGGAAAGGTAGGAGTCCCGGTGACGCGGCCCACGCCCCCAGCGCGCGCGGGGACCTGAGCGGCCGCCTGTGGGTACCCGAGCCTTGGGTCCTCGCCAGGCGCGGAAGCACTGTGCACCCGGGCTGCGGCGGTGCCGCCCGGGGCCAAGCGAGACGCGCTCCGCCTTGTCCCCTCCGCCCTGCGCTGCGCCCCGGACCCGCGTGTCCCTCCAGATCCGCACTGTCTCCTCCGGTCCTGCGTGTCCCCTCCGGCCCCACGCGTCCCCCTCCGGCCTCGCGTCTCCTTTCCGGCCTCGCGTCTCCTTTCCGGCCCCGCGTCTCCTCTGCAGCCCCGCATTGTGCCTCCAGACCCGCGCTACCTCCTCCAGACCCGCGCGTCCCCTCTGGCGACTCCGGCCGCCACCACGTGCCCGAGCCGGGGGCGGCACTTGCAGCGAATTCCCGCTTCCCGCTGCGCTCCAGCCCCGGGCCGCAGATATACCAGGGCTCCGGACCCGGAGAGACCCGGAGGGCGGCGGGGCCCGGGGTCCTGAGGGCGGGATTGGTGGGCTCGGGGGCACGGAGAGGGGCAGCGCGGCGCGGGAGGTGGGCAGCTCTGGCCTGAGTCCCACCTTTGCCCCTCCCGCCCTCTGACCCCCGGGCAGTCATTTCAGCCCCCAGCCCCAGTTGCCTCCTGGGCAAAACCGACAGATGGCTAGGGACGGCCGCGTGAGGATGGGAGCCGTCCCCAGAAAAGCAAACTCAGGCCCGCTGATGAGCGCGGCCCGGCCCCTCCTGCAGGGGCTGCCCTCCGCCTTTTCCGCCCTGCGTGCCAGAAAGGCCCGGCTACCTGGTGTTCCTACCCGCACCGGGGGGTCCCAGCGCACCGGACCCCGGTTTACAGGCCGGGTGGTTGGAGGCCCAGCACTGCCCAGAGCCCTGGGCCCCTCTCAGCTCAAAGACCCGGGAGAGAAGTGGGAGCTGCAGAAGTGTGGGGAGGGGGGCCTCGATTTGACTTTCAAATCAGAGTTGTGTGACTCCTGCGCCGTCTGTTTGGGTTGGGAGGGGTTGAGTTCTGGTGATGATTGTCACTCAACACCCGAGACTCCCCCACTGCGACCTGGGCACACTAAGGACGTTGAGGACTGGGGGTGTGTGTGGGGGGAGCCTGGCCTCCCCTGGCACTGGGCCTGTGCTGTGCCGTCTCTCCCTTCCCGCACCCACCCATCTGCCTCTCTTCTCTCATAACTCAGAGGCACGGCCAGCGTGATGCTACGGTTGCCTGGAGGCTGTACCGGACTTGTTTTTCAAACAGAGGGTGCCTAGGTATCAGCGTGGGCTCCTGGCGGTGAAGGGGGTGGCTGCTGACTCTCCTGTCCCGTTGGGGTAGAGAGATGGGGGAGGGTGGCCAGAAGGAAGGTGACAGCCAGCAAGCAGGGGCTCTGCCACTCCTCTGTCAGCTGGACACGTTTAGTCCCAAGGCCACTGTCTTCGGTGTCTCCATTAATCCAGGTATGATTCGGCCACCTTGACTCTGTGGGTTCTCTGGAGGCTCTCAGAGTGTCCCTCCCCCCCTACTCATTAACTGCAGGGGACAATCATTTATCTCTGACTTCATCGCTTCTGCCCACTTTTGTCGATGTAGGCTCTGGTTGGGAAACTCCTAAAAGGGACAGACTTCTGTTTACTTGTGCGCTCAGTAGAGAGCCTTATGCGGCAAAGTATTAAATAGCCAAGCTGCTAATGTATTGTTTGCATATGAAGATTTTGCTTTATGACAGCGTATTTTAGTGCATTATTAGATCACACAGGACAAAACATTTGCAAACTGCCAACCAAGGTAAGCTTTGGTTTTTTGGTTATTATCATTGTTTAATCTGAAGAGACCTTGCTGCATGAAGAGGAAAATGTTATCCTTGCATTTGGCAGATGCTACTTCCTGGAGGTCCCAGAGTGTAAGAAACTGTTGCTTGGCATAAGTGCTGTCTGCGTTTCCCGGTCACCCTGGTGTGAGCCAGGGCACAGGCTCTTGGAGGCTTTATCGAGGCAGAGCTTCCCCAGTTGCAGGTGGGACCTCTCACTTAGAAGTAAGCACAGCAAGTGGGAACTGCAGGGAGCCAGGCCGCGGCTGGGTTTGGTGCTGAGCCGTGGTCTGAAGCTGCCTGGAGGGGACAAGGTCCTCCTGTGAGGGACAGCACGGCACGTCAACCCTGCACTGACGGAGGTGCAGGAGACGCCAGTGCAGCTACTCTTCTGTATTTTTTGACCTTTGAGCGATCTGAATGTGTTAACTATTCAGAAAAGTAATTTAAAAATTGGGAAATGAAAAGACTTTGCCGCCCTGCTCCCAAAACCAAGAGAAGCCATCCGGAGAAGGCGTCCATCCTCTGCGGGCTGGAAGCTGAGCAGGGACAACTGTGGATTCCCTCCCCAGGCTGTGCTTCTGCCTCTTGACAAGCTTCAGACTTTGGGATCAGCTCCGTCAGGGGCCCAGCGGGTACCAGGCAAGTCGAGGAGTTTAATGATGGGGAGATTTGGGTAGGAGATAGGAAAACCGTAAGGGATAGTGCAGAGCCCTGGGCATTAGCACCTTGAGGTTTAAAATGTCAAGTGGCAGAGCCAAAACTAGGGACAGCCTGACAGGGACTGTGGCCTCTGTTGGAGGGGGCGGGCAGTGTGTAGCCTGCAGAGAGGGAGCTGGGAGAATCCTCAACCTAGACCTCACTCCTTCCTCCCTCTGATCTCATGGCTTTGGCAGCCAGAGGGCCGGGGAGCCTGACGGGGTGGTCCATACAGGGGACCTGACGGGGTGGTCCATACAGGGGATCCTGATGGGGTGGTCCATACAGGGGAGCCTGACGGGGTGGTCCATACAGGGGAGTCTGCTGGGACACAGAGCTGGGTGGATTTCCCTTTTGGAGGAGAGAGGGTCTTCAGGGTACAACAGAGAAGCAACCAAAGATCTTAGGTGCTGGTCCTGTCCCTCACTTATGGGAGGAACTAGTGGACAGCTACTGAATGTAGTTATGGGAAAGATGAGTGGTTGTGTACCACGGCATTCATTCATTCTCTAGATTGGGCACTTGCTATGCACCAGCACACGCTAGGTACCAGCTGAACAGCAAGACATGGTGTCTCCTCCCTGGAGCCCACCTCCTGTGCTCTCCAGCAAGTGCCAGGGAGGGGAGTCAGAAGTCCAAATGTAGAGCAGTTCTCAGTAGGAAGCCCCACCTGAGGAGGCTGAACTCCGCATGGAGAGGGTGTGGCACTGGTTGACCTCCTGGACTGTCACACAGGCTGTGGTTAGGTTGGTGCCATGGTGCTGGCTAGAATGGAGCCAGAGGGACTTAGACCTCATATTGCACCTGTCCAACATGGACCGCAGTGGTATGGCACGTGGCAGGCAGGAACCATATCAAGTGGGTGGTGGCTGCATCTGGGCCATGTCCCCTATGCTCAGCGTGAGGCTGGAGCAGCAG
Organism: Homo sapiens; assembly: GCF_000001405.40. Classification (NCBI taxonomy): domain Eukaryota; kingdom Metazoa; phylum Chordata; class Mammalia; order Primates; family Hominidae; genus Homo; species Homo sapiens. Next base: position 6,148,464 of record NC_000010.11, read on the forward strand.
CTGACAGTGGCAGTCCTGGCCCAGGTGGGGGAAGGATGGTGCAAGCATTGCCTTCAGGGCTCACAGCTCTTCCTGTGGGTCTCCAGGGTGACGGTGGTTAGAGTGGGAGGAAGGTCTGAGTCTTTGGCCAATCTGTCTAGAAGAAGGAGAAGTTAGTATCTTGACGTGAAACATAAAAGAAATTCATGAGACGAAAAGGAGGCAGGAAGCACTTCAGCTGGACACGGAGAGGAAAGTCATGCATATCATGACTAACTTTGGGAACCACAATGGAGGGACGCTGGGGCAGTTCTTCCTCTGCAAGAACTTCTCTCCTTAGAAATCGAATAGATGGGCCAGTGTGGTGGCTCATGCCTGTAATCCCAGCACTTTGGGAGGCCGAGGTGGGAGGATCACTTAAGGCCAGGAATTTGAGACCAGGCTAGACAACATAGCGAGACCCTCTCTCTACCAAAAAAATTAAAAATCAGCTGGGGGTGGTGGCGTGAACTTGTAGTCCCAGCTACTCTGGAGTCTGAGATGGGAGGATTGCTTGAGCCCAGGAGTTCAAGGCTGCAGTGAGCTACGATCACACCACTGCACTCCAGCCTGAGTGACAGAGCAAGACCCTGTCTCTCTAAAGAGAAATAAATAAGACAGATGGTGTAGACGGTGACTCATCTCAGGTGATGGAGGCGTGGCTCTAAGAGACTGTGGTCTTGAATAAATCGTTGAGGTCCTTTTCAAGTCTAGAATCCTATAACAATGTCTTCAGACAGCAGTGTTCCAAGGATTTTTGTACGTTCCACCTTCAGAGGGACAAGGGAATAGCAGGTGAAAGTTCTAATAATAAATAACAATAAGGCCGGGTGCGGTGGCTCATGCCTATAATCCCAGCACTTGGGAGGCCAAGGCGGGTGGATCACCTGAGGTCAGGAGTTCGAGACCAGGCTGGCCAACATGGTGAAACCCTGTCTCTACTAAAAATCCAAAAATTAGCCAGGGGTGGGGGTGGGCGCCTGTAATTCCAGCTACCTGGGGAGCTGAGGCAGGAGAATCACTTGAACCCAGGAGGCAGAGGTTGCAGTGAGCCGAGATCGTGCCACTGCACTCCAGCCTGGGCGACAGAGTGAGACTCCCTCTCAAAAAAAAAAAAAAAAGATACAAAATGCACTGTGTGGGATGTGAGGGCAATCTGGCTGTGACATCTGTCACCCCAGTAATCGTCAGGGTTGATTTGGCTGATCTGGCTGGCTAGGTGGGTGTCCCCTTCCTCCCTCACCACTCCATGTGCGTCCCTCCCAAAGCTGTGTGCTCGGTCCAAGAGGATGACCATCCCCAATAGAGGAGGACTCATCTTCAGTCAAGGGTACACGAGTAGCTGCACTCCCCTGCTAGAACCTCCAAACAAGCTCTCAAAATGCACTGTGTGACCTTACTATAATATCCTCCAGTTCCATCCCAAGGATTTCACTCTTTTTTATGGCTGAGTAGTATTCCATGTTGTATATGTACATTTTCTGTATCCATTCATCTGTTGTTGGACACCTAGGTTGATTCCATGTCTTGGCCGTTGTGAATAGCGCTGCAATAAACTTGGGGTTTGGATGTCTCTTCACGCCTTTTAAGTTCATGCCTTTTCTGTCACCTTTTCCATTGATTCTATGCACATAGCACCTCTTGCAGGCATATCTTGTCCCATAACCAGACCGGAACACTCATTTGTTCTCAGAATGCTTTCTGCATGGTAACTTGGAGAGCTATTTGAGTTACGGTCTATACCTCATGCTTATATTGGACCTGGTGGTAGCAAGTGTTTCATAAATTCTTCTACTTGGTTAATCTGTCATTTTCTTTTGGAATGAGTAGTTGCAGAGCCACATTAAGATCCTTATAGGCCAGGCACGGTGGCTCATGCCTGTAACCCAGCACGTTGGACGGCTGAGTAAGGTCAGAGGATTACTTCAGACCAGGCGTTCGAGACCAGCCTGACCAACATGGTGAAACCCTGTCTCTACTAAAAATACAAAAATTAACTGGGCGTGGTGGTGGGCGCCTGTAATCCCAGCTACTCAGGAGACTGAGGCACGAGAATCACTTGAACCTAGGAGGCGGAGGTTGTGGTGAGCTGAAATCGTGGCCACTGCACTCCAGCCGGGGCGACAGAGCGAGACTGTCTCAAAAATAACAATAATAATAAATCCTTATAAACCCTAAATGCTGAAAGATGATGGCATTTCCCCATGCGTAATTTAAAATAAAGACAATACCCAGGCTGTGCGTGGTGGCTCACGCCTGTAATCCCAGCTCTTCGGGAGGCCGAGGCGAGTGGATCACTTGACGTCAGGAGTTTGAGACCAGCCTGACCAACATGGTGAAACCCCGTCTCTACTAAAAGTATGAACAATTAGCCAGGTATGGTGGCGGGCACCTGTAATTTCAGCTATTCCGGAGGCTGAGGCAGGAGAACCGCTTGAACCTGGGGGGGCGGAGATTGCAGTGAGCCAAGATCCTGCCACTGCACCCTGGCCTGGGCGACAGAGCCAAACTCAGTCTCAGAACAACAACAACAAAAAGCAAAAATTGCCTATCATTCATGACGGCAGGGGAAGAGTTCCAAGATTTCCAGCTGGGCGGTTGAGACGGTGGACCAGGACAGCAGGGAGACGGACACAGGGAGGGAGCCCCAGTCTGTGGAACACCATCCCACTTACCGTAGCTCCCCACTGGCAGTGTGTATGAGTCTTGGTGGTATCTTGTGTGCGGGTCTGAGCTAGGGGGCGTGGCCCCAGGAGCATCCAAGGTTCTGGTTGGGGCAGCCACAAGGTGTCTGAAGAGCAGCGGGGTTTGGTCGTCCTGGCACTTCCGCAAGCAGCCTTTCCAGCTGTAGCTCCGGAAGGTGCTCTGACATGACAGTTCAAAAACACACTTCCCCCTGGCCTGGGCTTCAACACTCACTTGTCAGAAAGTGAGGTCCTGTATGCCCCAGTCCTCGGCCAGAGAAGCAAGAAGCAGATTTCCCAGAGGCTGTGGCCCCTTGCATTGGTGAGGACACTGGGGTGCTACCTCTGTTTGAGGGGTGACTGACAACTGTGCTTTCTTAGGGTGGAGTTGGTCTGCTGTCGTGACTGTCTGCTTGAGATACTGACCCCTGGCGATCAGATTCTGGAAGTCCTCTCCTGAGGCTGCTGAAGTCGTCCCAGAGGCTTGTCCAGCCACAGCAGTGGAGAAAGATCCAATCAGGCAGGCAGGGGCAAACGGGAAGTCGGGAGGGTACCCTCCCCGCTCCCTGAGAAGTGTGGACTTTCAAAAGGAAGTGAGAAAGAGGAAGGTCTTGCCTAGGCATGGGGTAGACCTGTTTGATGCAGGCGGACTTCAGGGAAAGCTGGTCCTCAGTGCCACAGTGCTGTGGCTGTCGGGCGGCAGGCACTGGCTCACAGCCGTGGTGGGGACGCCTTGTTTCTCGGAAGGACAGAACCGCCCTCCTGCAGCTCCTGTTCCTGGCTTCACATTAGAATTAACTGGGGAGCTAAAAAAAAAAAAAACCTGATGCCCCAGAAATTCTGATTTGATAGTTTCTGCCTTGATGCCTAGACAAAAAATGTCCTGAAACAATACTTCACCTCAGACAATACTGTACATGCTGATGTTTTCTAGTCTGTTCCATTTCATTAAGAAAGATTCTGGTCTTATTCCAGTAAATTGATTTCAAGGCCACTAATGGGTGGTGACCCACACTTTTGAGATGCCTGTTCCGGGCATCACCTCCCACTGCAGAGCCTGGGGAGCCGGACAGCTCCCTTCCCAGGCTCTGCAGTGGGAACTGATGCCTGGAACAGTTCCTGCAGCCGGTCTCCAGTGTGATTCAGGTCCTGCGGCAAGTTCTAGGTGGTCCAAGTGAGGCAGAAGCCTTGCTGGAGGCTTTACCCGTCCACACTGCTGTGGAGCCTCTGAGCCTCCATGGAGGCTCCCCAAGCCAGGCAGCAGGGGAGGAAGCGTCTGGTAGGAGGGTGGAAGGCATCACGATAACTAGCCACCTGCAAGGGCTAAATCTCTCTGGGACGTTTGCACGAGGAACATTCCGAACCCATGAATAGAGGAGGGCTGCGGATCTGGTAGCTGAGGAAATTCAGTAGAAAAGCGAGAAATGTATGCCAGGTGCAGTGGCACACACCTGCAGCCCCAGCTACTTGGGAGGCTGAGGTGGGAGGATTGCTTGAGCCCAGGAGAGTGAGACCAGCCTGGGCAACATAGTGAGATCCTGTCCCTACAAATAAAAAATTAAAAAATTAGCTAGGTGTGGAGGCATGTGCCTGTAGTGCCAGCTACTTGGGAGGCTGAGGTGGGAGGATTGCCTGAGCCTGGGAAGTTGAGGCTGCAGTGAGCCTTGATCGTACCGCTGCACTCCAGCCCGGGCAACAGAAAGAGACCTTGTCTTTAAAAAAAGGAAGAAGAGGCTGGGCACGGTGGCTCACGCCTGTAATCCCAGCACTTTGGGAGGCTGAGGTGGGCAGATCACCTGAGCTCAGAAGTTCGAGACCAGCTTGATCAACATGGTGAAACCCCATCTCTACTAAAAATACAAAAAAATTAGCTGTGCATGGTGGTGGGTGTCTGTAATCCCAGCTACTCGGGAGGCTAAGGCAGGAGAATTGCTTGAACTGGAAGGCATTGAGCCAAGATCATGCCACTGCACTCCAGCCTGGGAGACACAGCGAGACTCTGTCTCAGAAAAAAGAAAGAAAGAAAGAAAGAAAGAAATAAGAACAGAGAAAAGCAAGAAATGTAATTGAAAGGCCGATGGGCTGCCCTGTCCTGCGGGTGCCTACCCTCATTTATGATGCAACTGAAGTCACTTCCATAAGCTCTTCGGTCCTTTCAGCAGTGCCCAGTAGGCCAGGGGCGGATGTAAGTGCAGAGGCTGCGGCAGTGAACAAAACAGACAAACCTCGGCCATGGAGCTTACATGTGAATGGGGTAAGCCTGTGTGGCTTGGTCCTTGGTAGATGCTTTGAGTGGCTGGTAGGAGGTCATGGTGACCTCCCTGGGTTGGTGAGCAGGTGAACGCTGCATGTGTCAATGGATGTGAATGCCAAGAAGAAAATAACTCAGGAAAGAGGAGGGGGAGGGGCTGGGCGAGGTGGCTCACACCTCTAATCCCAGCATTTTGGGAGGCCGAGGCAGGCGGATCAGTTGGGGTCAGGAGTTCGAGACCAGCCTGTACAACATGGTGAAACCCCTGTCTCTACTGAAAATACAAAAATTAGCTGGGTGTGGAGGCAGGTGCCTGTAATCCCAGCTACTCAGGAGGCTGAGGCAGGAGAATTGCTTGAACCTGGGAGGTGAGGTTGCAGTGAGCTGAGATCGCGCCACTGCACGCCAGCCTGGGAGACAGAGCGAGACTCCATCTAAAAAAAAAAAGAGAGGGGAGAGGGAGTCAGGGACCGGGAGGGAGGATTGTGGTTGCACACAGGATGGTCACTCCAGGGGACATTTGGACCAAGACTGAGGGGAGTGAGACAGCCTGAGGGGAGTGAGGCAGCAGACAGTACCATTAGCTCAGGAGCATGTCCAAATAGGGAAGTGCGAGGCAAAGGTCCTGTGGCCAGAGCGGCTGAGTGCAGGAGGAACCTGCGGGCCAGCACCGCTTCTGCAGGGTGAGAGGGTGGAAGCCAGGTGGACACAGGCTTAGGAAGGGAGTGGCGGCTCAGCACGTCCTCATCTCCCATGGTAGGGCCTTGTTTGGCCTCTCAGCTGGAGACAGGAAGGCCTGGGAGGGTTTTGGTGGAGGTGTGGGCTGAATTAATTTTTTTTTTTTTTTGAGGCAGGGTCCCACTCTGTTGGCCAGGCTGGAGTGCAGTGGCGCGTTCTCGGCTCACTGCAACCTCTGCCTCTCGAGTTCAAGCGATCCTCCTGCCTCAGCCTCCAGGGCAGCTGGGATTACAGGTGCATGCTACCGCGTCCAGCTAATTTTTTTGTATTTTTAGTAGAGACGGAATTTCACCACGTTGGTCAGGCTGGTCTTGAACTCCTGAGTTCAAGTGATTTGCCCGCCTCGGCCTTCCAAAGTGCTGGGATCATAGGCGCGAGCCACCGCGCCTGGTGGGCTGAATTAACGTGACACCATAAAACGTCTCCGCCACGGGTGGCTACTATCCTGAGAGCAGACTGTGGGGTGGCGGGGGAGGCAGGAGACCAGGTGGGAGTCTCTGGGCCTGCTGCAGGTGGCTGCGATCAGGGTGGTGTTGGGGGTGGCTGGATTCTGAATATATTTAGGAGGCAGAGGCGGCGGGATTTGATGGATTTGCTGTGGGGTGAGAGAGAGTGAATCATGGGTAGCTCCCCCAGCTGCCTTCTGTCTGATCTGGGGAGACGCTGGGAGCCAGGTGGCCGAGGCGGTCGAGGCCTGGGTTGTAGTGAGCTGCGGGGAGCCCGCACTGCCACAGCAGCTGCACCTCCTCTAGGCCCTGTCCTTGGTAGAGGCTGTGAGTGGCCCGTAGGAGGTCATGGTGACCTCCATGAGCAGCTCTGTTTCTGTCTGTGGTTCAAAAGGATGGGACCCAGTAAGCAGCCTTCCAGAAAAGTCCACTGTGCCCCAGGTCAGTCATCAGACAGAGCCATTTCAAGAAGCAAATGACTTGGACAATGGGGGCTGATGCTTACTGCCACTGGCAAAGAATTCCGAAAGGTTCTGAGGGGTTTACTCCGGGCACTGAGCATGCTCTCTTCCAAGCTGGGAGAAAAGCACTTACGAGTTTTTTTCTTTTTTTTTTTTTTTGAGACGGAGTCCCGCTCTGTCGCCCAGGCTGGAGGGCAGTGGCGCGATCTCGGCTCACTGCAAGCTCCGCCTCCCGGGTTCATGCCATTCTCCTGCCTCAGCCTCCCGAGTAGCTGAGACCACAGGCGCCCACCACCACGCCCGGCTAATTTTTTTTGTATTTTTCATAGAGACGGGGTTTCACCATGTTAGCCAGGATGGTCTCGATCTCCTGACCTCGTGATCCGCCCGTCTCAGCCTCCCAAAGTGCTGGGATTACAGGCGTGAGCCACCGCACCTGGCCGAGTTTTTTCACTTTCCCAGGGTTTCCGTGTAAATACTACACAATTACCAACCAAATGTCTGTCCTTCCTCCGTTTCCATAAATGTCAAGGGCTCCACTGTAAGGGGGAAGCATGGACCCCCACTCCAGGAAGACTTCCTGGACAGACCCCACCCAGGCACCTGCTGACCGGGTTCACTTCCAAATCAGGATACTGGCTTGTCCTGGTTTGTCCATATTTCCCCGGTTTCAACCTCGACAGTCAGGTCACCCCTACCTCCAGCTAACCCTCGTGCCACAGGCTTGTTGAAAGTTAGATGGCCTCATTTTAGAAAAACAGATTTAAAAACCTCATTCGTGTTTGAACATGGAAAGAAAGAATAAGAAAGTAGGCTTTATGGCCCTGGGCTACTGGCTTGAAACTTTGGAAGATATTTTTCTTTCTTAAAATGTTTTTATGTTTAGGAGATATGTTCTACATGCACATAGCGAACATCCTACCCAATAGGCAGTTTTTCAACCCTCACCCCCGCTGCCATCCTCCCAACTTTTGGAGTCTCCAATGTCTATTATTCCATCCTGTGTGTCTGTGTGTTACCCATTGTTTAGCTCCCAAAGAAGAGATATTATATATATGTACATATATATGTGTGTGTGTGTGTGTGTGTGTGTGTGTGTGTGTATTTTTAGAGGCAGGGTTGTGATCTGTCTCCCAGGCTGGAGTGCAGTGGCACGATCATGGCTCACTGCAACCTCCACCTCCCAGGCTCAAGCAATCCTCTTGCTTCAGCATCCTGAGTAGCTGGGACCGCAGGTGTGCGCCACCACAGTCTGCTTTTTTTTTCAAACTTTTTGTGGAGACAAAGTCTCCTTGTGTTGCCCAGGCTGGTGTCCAACTCGTGGGCTCAAATGATCCTCCCACCTTGGCCTCCCAAAGTGCTGGGATTATAGGCATGTGTCATCACGTCCAGCCTCCAAAGAAGAGCAAATTCACTTTAAATTAAATTAATTAATTAATTAATTACTTTTTATTTATCTTTTTTGAGATGGAGTCTCGCTCTGCGGCCCAGGCTGATGTGCAGTGGCACAATCTCGGCTCACTGCAACCTCTGCCTCCCAGATTTTAAGTGATTCTCCTGCCTCAGCCTCCCACCACCACCATGCCCGGCTAATTTTTGTATTTTTAGTAGAGATGGGGTTTCGCCATGTTGGCCAGGCTGGTCTCGAATCCCTGACCTCGTGATCCGCCCACCTTGGCCTCCCAAAGTGCTGGGATTAGAGTTGTGAGCCACTGTGCCTGGCCCAAATTCTCTTTTTAAAGTATCTGGGCTGGGCGTGGTGACTCACGCCTGTAATCCCAGCACTTTGGGAGGCTGAGGCAGGTGGATCACCTGAGGACAGGAGTTCAAGGCCAGCCTGGGCAACATGGCAAACCCTCTTCTCTACTAAAAATACAAAAATTAGCTGGGCGTGGTGGCAGGCACCTGTCATCCCAGCTACTTGGGAGGCTGAGGCAGGAGAATCGCTTGATCCTAAGAAGTAGAGGTTGCAGTGAGCCGAGATGGTGCCACTGCACTCCAGCCTGGGCCACAGAGCGAGACTCCATCTGAAAAAAATAAAAATAAATGATAAAAAATTTTAAAAAGCAATTCTGCCAGGCTTATTAGAAAATGGAAACAAGGATTTTGTCATCAACTTGCTGCCTCATAGTAACAACAAAGGTGTCTGAATCTGTAAATAGTTGTGTCTTCTTTTTTTTTTTGAGACGGAGTCTCGCTCTGTTGCCCAGGCTGGAGTGCAGTGGCGCGATCTCGGCTCACTGCAAGCTCCACCTCCTGGGTTCACGCCATTCTCCTGCCTCAGCCTCCCGAGTAGCTGGGACTACAGGCGCCCGCCGCCCCGCCCAGCTAATTTTTTGTATTTTTAGTAGAGGCGGGGTTTCACCGTGTTAGCCAGGATGGTCTCGATCTCCTGACCTCGTGATCCGCCCGCCTCGGCCTCCCAAAGTGCTGGGATTACAGGCATGAGCCACGGCGCCCAGCCAATAGTTGTGTCTTTGGTGAAAACATTCTAGAAGTTGAACGTCATCTGTTTATAATAAATGAGTCAGCATGTGGTCCTCCAAGAATCTCGTCTGCTATTGTCACCCCATTTCCCGGGTCCTGTTTATAAATGGGGTATGACAAAGGGAACCCACTTCAAGCTGAAATCATCTGTTGTTCAAATCCTGGATTATAGAAAGGCTTTTTCACTTATGATTTCAGTGAAGCAAAAGGTCATGTTATCATGACTGCTTTATAGGAAATGGATTTCTTAACCTTCTAAAACTTTTGAAAATTCATTTTTGAATGAGTAATATGTAACACATGGCCTGACAGTAAATCCCAATCCACGTTATGGAAAAACCGACTTGACTGAATAAGCAGGCAGTCCATTGTTTCTCTGTGGTTGTGTTCTTTTCTCTGGCTTCTGTGAGAAATAACTGAATGACGGGTAAAGCCTTTTAAAAGTCAGGCAGTGTGGCTGGGCGCGGTGGTTCATGCCTGTAATCCCAGCACTTTGGGAAGTCGAGACGGGTGGATCACGAGGTCAGGAGATCGAGACCATCCTGGCTAACATGGTGAAACCCTGCCTCTACTAAAAATAAAAAAAAAAAATTAGCCGGGCGTGGTGGCGGGCGCCTGTGGTCCCAGCTACTTGGGAGGCTGAGGCAGGAGAATGGTGTGAACCCGGGAGGCAGAGCTTGCAGTGAGCCGAGATTGCGCCACTGCACTCCAGCCTGGGGGGACAGAGCAAGACTCCATCTTAAAAATAAATAAATAAATAAGATAAAATAAAATAAAAGTCAGGCAGTGTGTAACAAAAGGAAATAAAGAAACTTCACCTCTTTAGTGATCAGGAAAATGCAGATTGAGACCAAAATGAAGACACGTTTCACTCTGTGTGCCCGGTAGAAATGAGGAAGCCTGATGGCTTTCAGTGTTGACAGAATGTGGACCACAAAAGCCCCTCACACATTGCTGGTGGGCCGATAAGTGGTACAAATGCCTTGGAGGCAGTTTGGTCTTTTCTTTGGTGTAAAGTTGAAATTCACATACTTCGGCTAGGTGCGGTAGCTCACGCCTGTAATCCTAGCACTTTGGGAGGCCTAGGCAGGCGGATCACCTGAGGTCAGGAGTTCAAGACCAGCCTGGTCGACATGGTGAAACCCCATCTCTACTAAAAATACAAAAAGTCAGCCAGGCATGATGGCATACACCTGTAGTCCCAGCTACTCCAGAGACTGAGGCAAGAGAATCGCTTGAACCTAAGAGGCGGAGGCTGCAGTGAGCTGAAATCGCAGCGCCACTGCTCTCTAGCCTGGGTGACAAAGCAAGACTCCATCTCAAAAAAAAAAAAAGAAATTCACCTACTCGAAACCAGCAATACCGTTCCTAGTATTGCTGATGTTCACACAATCATGTTCATAGCAGCACTCTCATAGAAAAACCTTTACACAGCACAAATGCACTTTGACAGGAGGATAAATTATTCTTAGTATATTCACACAAGGCAATATTATAAATAAGCTACACTCAAATAGACAGCAACTCTCAATATTGTTGATGACTATTAAAAAATCCCAAAACAGGCCAGGCGCTGTGGCTCTCACTTGTAATCCCAGCACTTTGAGAGACGGAGGTAGGCAGATCCCTTGAGGTCAGGAGTTCGAGATCAGCCTGCCCAACATGGTGAAACCCTGTTTCTACTAGAAATACAAAAATTAGCCAGGCGTGGCGGTGGGCACCTGTAATCCCAGCTACTTGGGAGGCTGAGAAGGGAGAATCGCTTGAACAAGGGAGGTGGAGGTTGCAGTGAGAGGAGATCGCGCCACTGCACTCCAACCTGGGTAACAGAGCGAGACTCTGTCTTAATTAAAAAAAACAAAAAAAAGCACCAGGCATGGTGGCTCACACCTGTAATCCCAGCACTTTGGGAGGCTGAGGCGGGGGGATCACCTGAGATGGGGAGTTTGAGACCAGCTGTCAAGAAACCCGTCTCTACTAAAAATACAAAAAAATTAGCTGGGTGTGGTGGTGCATGCCTGTAATCCCAGTTACCCGGGAGGCTGAGACAGGAGAATCGCTTGAACCCGGGAGGAGGAGGTTGCGGTGAGCCGAGATTACACCATTGCACTCCAGCCTGGGCAACAAGAGTGAAACTCCGTCTGAGGAAAAAAAAAAAAAACAAAACACCAAAAAACCAAAAACCAAAAACATCAAAATCATTACATATGGTAAGGTACTTTTTATTTATTTACTTATTGAAACAGGGTCTCGGATTGTCACCTAGGCTGGAGTGCAGTGACTCACTGCAGCTTTGACCTGCCAGGCTCAAGCAATCCCCCCACCTCAGCCTCCCCAGTTGCTATGACTTTAGGTGTGTGCCACCATGCCTGGCTATTGTTTTTTTTTTTAATAGAGACGAGGTCTTGCCATCTTGCCCAGGCTGGTCTTGAACTCCTAGACTCAAGCAATCCTCCCGCCTGAGCCTCTCAAAGTGCTGAGATTACAGGCATGAGCTACCATGCCCGGCCTACGATACTTTTTAAAATAAAATTAAAACAACTAAAACTAAACAATGCTTTTTAGGAATATATACATAATAAAACTATGTATTTTTACAAGATTCAGGATAATGGTTACTTCCATTTGAAGGGAGGCAGAAGCAGAGGATGGGGGAATATACAAATACATGTCACTTAATGTCAATAATTGAGATGTCAATTGGCTGATGGGGTCATAGTTGTCTGTTATATTAAACAAACAAATACAAAAGAGGGCCATTCAGGGATCAGTGATGAGAGCCTGAGATGAGGCGAGGACTGTGATTGCTCCCACCCTCTCTACCTGAGGTCCAGAAAGCAAGAAAGAATGAAGAGTTCCCTTTTGACCTGTTACAAGATCAGCAGTTTCCTGGGTGCGGTGGCTCACGCCTGTAATCCCAGCACTTTGGGAGGCTGAGGCAGGCAGATGACCTGAAGTCAGGAGTTCGAGACCAGCCTGGCAAACACAGTGAAACACTGTATACTAAAAATACAAAAAAATTAGCTGGGCATGGTGGCACGCACCTGTAATCCCAGCTACTCAGGAGGCTGAGGCAGGAGAATTGCTTGAACCCGGGAGGTGGAGGCTGCAGTGAGCTGAGATCTCGCCATTGCATTCCAGCCTGGGCGACAAGAGCAAGACTCTGTCTCAAAAAAAAAAAAAAAAAAAAAGAGGATGAAGCAAATATGGTAAATATGGTAAAATGTTAATAACTAGTGAAGATATATGGAGATTCTTTGTACTACTTAAAAATTTTCTAAATTTGAAATTACGTCAAAATGAGAAGTTAAAAGAGAAATGACAGGTCACTTCTCCAGTCATCTCCCAACCTTGATGCATTTGGCCTTTTTTTAAATTTTTTTAATTTATTTTTTTATTTTTTTGAGATAGAGTTTCACTCTTGAAGCCCAGGCTGGAGTGGAATGGTGTGATCTTGGCTCACTGCAACCTCCGCTTCTCGGGTTCAAGCAATTCTCCTGCCTCAGACTCCCGAGTAGCTGGGACTACAGGTGCCTGCCACCATGCCCAGCTACTTTTTGTATTTTTAGTAGAGACGGGGTTTCACCATGTTGGGCAGGCTGGTCTTGAACTCCTGACCTCAGATGGTTCACCTGCCTTGTCCTCCCAAAGTGCTGGAATTACAGGTGTGAGCCACGGCGCCTGACCTCATTTGGCCTCTTCTTTCTGTTGCTCAAACACTCAAGACTTACGACTCAGGGCCTCTGCAAGTTCCCCCTGCCTGGAGCAGTGATAGGGTGACTCTTTACCAGCAATATGAGGATCCCATTTGTTTGGATCATTTGTAAAGGTAACTTTTCCCATTTGTAACTAAAAAGTTATCTGTGGAGGGATCCTTTGCAGTCACTCACAAAGTGTGAATAAAATATCCTGTTCCCAATAATCTTTATAAAAAATTTAAAAAATTATTTTATTTCATTTTGTCATGTCCTTGAGTCATAGATATATACACACATATGTATATATATACACACATATGTATATATATACACACACACATATATATATACACACACACATATATATACACACACACACATATATATATATAGAGAGAGAGAGAGAGAGAGAATCTCACTTTGTCACCCAGGCTGGAGTGCAGTGGTGCCATCAGGACTTGCTGTTGTCTAGAATTCCTGGGCTCAAGCGATCCTCCCACCTCAGCCTCCCGAGTGGGTGGGATTACAGGAGGGTGCCACCATGCCTGGCTAATTTTTTAATTTTTAATTTTGTAGAAACAGGGTTTCACTATGTTGCCCAGGGTGGCCTTTAATTTCTAATGTAAACATTTTTAATTGTGGTAAATACACTTATAATTTACCATCTTCAACATTTTTAAGTATACAGCTCAGTGGTGTTAAATATATTCAGTGTTGTACAACCATCACCACCAACCATCTCTAGAACTTTTTCATCCTGCAAGACTGAAACTCTGCACCCATTAAACAATAACTCTCATTCTTCACAATCCCCAGCTCCTGGCAGCCACCATTCTTTCTGTCTCTGAATCTGACTATTCTAGGGAACTCATGTGAGTGGAATCTTACAACATTTGTCTGTTTGTGCCTGGCCTATTTCACTTAGCATCAAGTGCTCACGGCTCATCCACGTTGTAGCATGGGTCAGAATTTCCATCTTTTTGGAGGCGGAGTAATGTTCTGTGTGTTTAGTCACATTTTGTGTATCCATTCATCTGTTGTTGGACACATGGATTACTCTACCTTCTGGCTGTTGTCAATAATGCTGCTGCGAACATGGGTCTACAAACATCTCTTTGAAACCTTGCTTTCAATTCTTTGGGGTGTGTATATACAAGGAATAATCTTTTATTTCATAGCTTTAGCATCTATTGATGATTCTTGAGTGAAACACTTATCAGAGTGTCCGTAAAATGGCTATTTACCATTTTTGTCATTCTTTCCACATTTATTAGTTGGCATTCTTTTGTAAAGAAGCTCTTTCCTGCCCATCCTCCCTTTTACTAGCTTTAATTTCATCATCATTATTAATAGTAGTAATAGTACCAATGTGGACTCCGGGATTTTTAAAATTATGACTGCATGTGTTAGAATCCATTCCTGACATACTCAATTGATGCTCAAGCCACTCCCAGTTTGGGTGAGAACCCTTTCAGGCTGGCTGCTGTGTCCTTGACACGCCCCCTTCAGCTTTTGAGCTCTGTCTTAACTCCTGTTCCAGGCTCCTTGTGTCCTTCCCAGTCTCGGCCTTGGGAGCAGCCACTCCTCCAAGGATCCCTGGGTACTTTCAGTGGAGGATGGTCCTTAGAAGGCTGGATCTGGGCTTTTGTGTGCCTCTTCTTGCTACCGGAGTGTCCGTGTTTCCAGGGCGTTTTTCATGGATGGAGCTGGGAAACATTTTAAAATTGTAAATTCAAACGGATCAGTTATTCCAGTCCAGCAGCACAGAGTTCTTCCTCTCCTTCCCCCGTCCCATAATTGTATCTTTCATTTGCTTTCTGTGTTTTCCCCAGGAATGTTGTCTTCATCTTGAATCTCCTTTGCTACTGGCTGTACTCATTAGCAACATAAAATTCCTCGTGATAACCTCTGACCCCTATCCCATGTGTGATGACACCGAGTTGAGGGAGATCAGACATTCAATGCAGAGGTGGGGGCCAAGACCAAGCCTCCTGGGGCTTAAGAAAATATCTCCAGAGACGGGAAGTCTGGAAGGGAACTCCATCACGAATATTTTATGTTCCCTCCCTCTATTGTTCTCAATCACTGCACAAGTGTATATTACTTTTTTTAATAACAAAAAGGAACTTTTAAGGTAACCCCCCACAACCCTATATAGACTGGATGTCAACTCTTTAGTCCTAGATACACCTGGAGCCTGGCGTCGTGGGGACAGAGGCAGGTCCCTGTGCTGAGGGCGGTAAGACAGGGCGGGTAGGTGGGGACCCAGCTGGGAGGTAGGGGGGCCAGACGGGACATCAGCTCCCGGGAGCCCCGCTCTGGGCACGGTGCGCGCCTCCACCCTCCATTGCACCCCGCGCCTGCTTCCTCCCAGGTGCACCTCGGGCGCCTAAGCCAGCTGGGTCCCGGGCCCCGGGAGCAGCTGCGGGCCCGACGGGGGCGTGGCGGGACCGGCGGGGGCGGGGCCTGGGGGTGGTCCGCGCGGATTGGCTGCTGCCTGCGGCGCACGAGCCGGTCAGCGCGCACCCCGCCCTTCCCGGGCCGTGCGGCACGCCGCGTTCACGTGCTGTCGCGCGCCCTCCCGGCGTGCGCCGCGCGGCCCCAGCCTGCTCTGCGGCGACTGTCCGGCTCGTGAGCTCCGCGTGGATCCGGCGCTGGGCCCCCTACGCTCTGGGGACCTGGGGTTGTGTTTCCGGCAAAGGATGTTTTCCGAGAAGGCCTGGGAGCGGCTGTAAATAATACCCGAGAGGAAATAGGCCCGGCAGGTGTTTTTGCGCGTCCCGGCGTTGGGTGTGGCTGCGGCGGGCGTGCAGGCCGCAGATGAGGAAACAGACTAGGAGGGATTTAGGCATCTGGACTCTGCGGGGCGGCCCGGGCGCGCAGCCCGTTTCCCTGTGGGTTGAGGGCGCGGGAGAAGTGGGCGGCCCACCCCACCCCGCGCGTGGATGCGGGGCTGGGGCAGGTCCGCGGTGGAGGCGCCGCCAGTGAGCACCCGGGGACCGCTCCTAGCCCCCAGTGTGGGACACAGACTCCCTGAGGACCTCGTATGCGTTGGGTCTGTGGCTCCATCCGAATCTTCATGAACAGGGCCTGCGGTGAATTTGGGGAGAGTGAGTGAGCGGGTGAAGGGTCAGGAAATAAGTCACAGGAGGCATGGTTGAAGAATTGGGGATGTTTAACCCAGACATGGCAGGACTGGGCACACTTGACCCCTGTCTGGAAGTATTTGAAAGACTTCTGAAGGGGGCCAGCCCCTCCACACCTGTGGGTGTTTCTCGTCAGGTGGGAGGAGATACTGAGAAAAGAAATAAGACACAAAGTATAAAGAACAGTGGGCCCAGGGGACTGGCACTCAGCATACGAAGGACCCGCACTGGTGGCCGTCTCTGAGTTCCCTCAGTATTGATCATTATTTTTACTATCTTGGCGAGGGGAGTGTAGCAGGGCAACAGGTGGGGAGAAGGTCAGCAGGGAAACATGTGAGCAAAGGAATCTGTATCATGAATAAGTTCAAGGAAAGGTACTGTGCCCTGATGTGCACATAGGCTAAGTTTATGTTTCCCTTTACTCAGACATCTCAGTGTAGCAAAGAGTAACAGAGCAGTATTGCTGCCAGCATATCGCCTACAGCCACAGGGCGGTTTTCTCCTATCTCAGAATAGAACGAATGGGATTGGTCTGCTTTACACCGAGACATTCCATTCCCAGGGATGAGCAGGAGACAGAAGGCTTCCTCTTATCTCAACTGCAAAGAGGCCCCCTCTCTTTCACTACTTCTCAGTACAGACCCTTTACGGGTGTCTGGCTGGGGCACGGTCAGGTCTTTCCCTTCCCAGGAGGCCATATCTCAGGCTGTCTCAGTGGGGGGAAACCTTGGACAATACCCAGGCTTTCTTGGGCAGAGGTCCCTGCAGCCTTCTGCAGTGCATGGTGTCCCTGGTTAATCGAGAATGGAGAATGGCGATGACTTTTACCAAGCATACTGCCTGCAAACATATTGTTAACAAGGCACATCCTGCACGGCCCTGAATCCATTAAACCTTGATTCAATACAGCACATGTTTCTGTGAGCATAGGGTTGGGGCTACAGTTACAGGTTAACAGCATCTCAAAGCAGAAACAATTTTTCTTAGTATAGATCAAAATGGAGTTTCTTGCGTCTTCCTTTTCTGCATAGACACAGTAACAATCTGATCTCTCTTTTCCCCACAACTTCCTTATGAGGAAGAGGCTAGACTTTCCTTCTCCCTGGGGGCACAAAACAGATTTTCCCAGGTGGAGAATTTCAGGTCAGTTACACAGAGCCGGCAGGGATGAACATGTCTGGCGTTCTTTGCAGGAGCCAGATGTTTACCTATGTTAGTGGGAGAATAGTGGAGCTCAGATGCAAGTTCTCATCTGCCAGACTCCAAAGCCCTTGCCTTTTCTCGATGCGTCTATTTTTTTGTAAATGTTTTAGTTCAGAGGTACATGTGCAGGTTTGTTATATAAGTAAACTCGTTTGTTGTAGATTATTTCATCACCTAGGTATAAGCCTAGTACCCAGTATTTTATTTTCTTTTTTCTTTGTCTTTGTTTTTTTTTTTGAGACAGAACCTCACTCTGTCGCCCAGACTGAAGTGCAGTGGTGCTATCTCCGCTCACTGCAACCTCTGCCTCCCGGGTTCAAGCGATTCTCTTCCCTCAGCCTCGTGAGTAGCTGGGATTACAGGCGTGGATCACCAGGCTCAACTTTTTTTTTTTTTTTTTTTGAGACGAAGTCTCACTCTGTCATCCAGGCTGGAGTGCAGTGGCACGATCCCGGCTCACTGCAACTTCCGCCTCCTGGGTTCAAGCGATTCTCCTGCTTCAGCCTCCCCAGTAGCTGGGATTACAGGTGCCCCGCCACCACGCCCAGCTAATTTTTGTGATTTTTAGTAGAGATAGGCTTTCTCCATGTTGGCCAGGCTGGCCTCGAACACCTGAGCTCAGGTGATCCGCCCGCCTCGGTCTCCCAGAGTGCTGGGATTAAGGTGTGAGCTACCGTGGTAGAGATGGGGTTTCGTCATTTTGGCCAGGTTGGTCTCAAACTACTGACCTCAAGTGATCCACCCGCCTTAGGCTCCCAAAGTGCTGGGATTACAGACATGAGCCACCGCCCGGCTTAGTATTTTTTTTTTTCTGAGCCTCTTCCTCCTTCCACTCAATGCATCTATTTTAGTGGAATGGGTTCCTTTGTGAACAATGATGTTGCAGTTATTCATGAAGTAATAAAGTGTTTGTGTATTGATTGATTTCTTTGGACTGGAGGGTTTGCCCAGCCCTGTTGAGCTTTGTCATTGTCTACCTCAGGGGAAGAGGGAGATTGTCGCTGGTCAGAGGAGAATGCCAGGGCTTCTCTCAGACGGAGGCAGCCTCCCATCTCACCGCAAGTCGGATCTTGAGTAGCACCTGTTTCGGCCCATTGCCCCTTTAACAAGGGGCCCAGGTGCCCTTGGACTTGCTAGAAGAATAATCATGACTTTGAGTTTAACAAATGTGGTCACAGTATTCCACTGCAGTCCACCTTTCCCACTTCTCCTAGCCCTTCTTCTTCTTTTTTTTTTTTTTTTTTTTTATTTGAGACAGAGTTTGGCTCTTGTTGCCTAGGCTAGAGTGCAATGGTGCGATCTCAGCTCACCGAAACCTCTGCCTCCCAGTTTAAAGCAATTCTCCTGTCTCAGCCTCCCGAGTAGCTGGGATTACAGGCATGCACCACCATGCCCTGCTAATTTTGTATTTTCAGTGGAGATGGAGTTTCTCCATGTTGGTCAGGAACTCCCCATCTCAGGTGATGGGCCCGCCTCGGCCTCCCAAAGTGCTGGGATTACAGGCGTGAGCCACCTTGCCTGGCCTCCTAGCCTTTCTTTTTTGCAAATCTGACACTCCTCCCCTCCACCCCATGTGCCTAGACAAGGCCAGCATGGGACTCACACAGGAAGAGCTGAGGACTGGAGGAGTGAGTAACTTTTACCTGAGTACGTTTCAGCCCTCCAGGTGGTACCAGGTACAGTCCTCTGAGAAGTCGGGAGGAAAACGCCTGTGCGGGTCTCATTCAGCTCTGCGGTCCTCAGTGTCTGTCTGATACTGAGTCTGTAGTGAGGATGCATAACGGGGTAACCCTTTCTGAGCTCCTGGATTCATTTGCTGAATTAATAGCTTCATACTCTCTGAAGAGAGGAATACTTTAGGAGTCTCTTTTTTGTTTCTGCCACATTTATTAAATTGTCACATTTTAACACATTTTAAGCCATTTTAACATCTCTTGAGAGAAGGTAGGGGCTGTGGAATGTGTATAAAGAGACAATATCTTGTTTTTCTTGGATCCCTAGCTAGCAGATGTGATTACAGTTTCTTATCAAGAACTCAGCCAGAAAATACCAGCCAAACCCTCTTCCTCCATTGGATTATCTGAGGCAGCATTCGTATCTGGTGGCCTCTCTGCTCTGAGCAGTTTGTGGAGCTCCAGAAGATGTCTCTGATGATCCTCTTTTCTTCCTTTCAAGGGATTTCCTAGATTATTCATCCTAAACCTTGGTCTCATTCCTCTCCTACGCCCTTAGGTGTTAAGGAATTGGATATCTATGGAGATAGCCAGCCCAGCCCTAAGCGACACTGTAGAGAAGGTTAAATTTTGTTTCTCTTTGCCTGTTTCTGGTCCTTTGTCCCTTGCTAAGTCCCTAGGTCGTTCCTGCTTTTTTCTAGGTCACATCCTCAGCTTCTTCATCTGCGTCATCTCTAAATGACAGATAGTAGCTCAGTTTGCATTTTAACTGATAGCTGAGATCTTTAACTCCAGAGATGCTATCTAACCATTTAGGGACAGGTTAAATCACATTGTCTTCTTTCCCTAGCCTGCCCCACTCTCCAACCCCAGCATTTTCATACAGAGGGGCAGCTTAGGTAGGGGTGACTAGAGGTAGTGGGAGGCTGGTGGAAGATCATGAGGTAGTGAGTCCTGGAATCCTCCACTTTGCTCCCACTTGCTGAGCGAGGGCCCTGGCCACCCACACTGACCATGCTTGTATTCATCAGCTGTCCTAGAATGTCCTGCCTCAGGCTGGAGGCTGAGGATGCCAGTGAGCGAGGCAGAACGGTGGCTTCAGTCAGCCTTCCTGGGTTCTGATGCCACCTCCACCACTGAGTAGCTGTGTGACCTTGGAGAATTTCCCAAACATCTCTGTGCTTCAGTTCCCTGATGTGTCAGCCTTATGCAGTTGTGAGGATTAACACGAGCAGCTAAGCACAAAAGGCTTCTACATGGCCTGGTAGAAAATCAGGATGCCACCCTGCTGGTGGCCACTGGAAACCCTATTACAATCCAGAGTGCTTCCTAAGTGGGCCTTATTATTCCTGTCTTAAAGGAACTTTCTGCCCAGCAATGACAACTTGGCCATTGCTACGACCATTATGCATGAGTTTAACGGACCAGAAAATGGGATGGGGTGGTCTGCACAGCAGCTGCCCACTCGCAGGTGCCGAGTGTATTTGCAGGTCTGTTTGAGCCCTTACATTCAGGCCTGGGGATGGATGTGGGTGAATGTGCGCGACAGGAGCGAGGCAGCCCCAGTGGTCTGACTTACATTCAAAGCACTTCACGGAATCCATCTGCCCAGACAACCTCCTAAAGTGGTCCTTCGTTGAATGCCTCTCCCGTCTGCCCCCCGAAAAGTTATCTAAAAGTCCCCACTCCTTATGCTTTCTCTTTTTGAGCCAGAGTCTCGCTCTGTCACCCAGGCTGGAGTGCACTGGTCACTGCAACCTCCCCCTGGTTCAAGCAATTATCTTGCCTCAGCCTCCCAAGTAGCTGGGGCTACAGGCATGTGCCACCACGCCCGGCAAATTTTTTGTATTTTTAGTAGAGACGGGGTCTTGCCATGTTGGCCAGGATGGTCTCGAACTCTTGACCTCAAGTGATCCCCCCGCCTCAGCCTCCCAAAGTGCTGGGATTACAGGCGTGAGCCACCGCGCCCAGTCTTCTTATATTTTCTTGTCACAGTGCATCTGCTTGGGTGGCAGGTGCACCTACCTGGGGGAGAGCACATTTTCTGTTCTTTTCTTAGTCTTACGCAGGGAGGATTGTGATTGGGACTCTGGCGGCTGTGAGCAGGGTAGGGGGTCTTAATTTTAGTGAGCAAGGGGCACGAATGCTCAGACCTGGGCCACCATGGAGTTGTCGGGGTGTGGGTAGGAGACTGGCGTCACCCATAAATGCAGAGTAGACCCACTTCCTCCAGGATATTTGACTGTGATCTTGGGCCATTGTGTCTGTTCCCCAGGCCCTGAGGGTTCTCCTGGGATAAGATGGGTATGAACTTGCTGCGCTGATGGTGAAGGCGGGTGGCTGAGGAACAGGAAGAGTGCGTCCAGTACTGCTTAAGAATTCGGTGATGTATCCTGGGCTCTCTAGAGGCTTACAAACATGTGGAATCTAAAAGTCACTCAGAATTTGGAACTCTCTAAATGTTTATGTCCCAGGGTGAAATCCCAGCCCTGAGCTCTATATATGGGAGTGGCCAGGAGGGTCTGAGCACCGAGGAAGGACTGGCTTCTGCCTGGCTCCCGGTTTTATGTTTCCCTAACATTGTTATGTCTTGGATGTGTATTTCCTTAAACCTTTCCCAGGTTCCTTTTGGTTCTGGGTCTAGGACACTGAGAAGATTGAAACATTGGGAGTGCACTGGCCTTGCTCTCTGGAAAGGCTTTACTTTTCCTCTTGCCTATTTGCAGTTCCCTTAAATTAGTCACATTTTGGGACCCTCTTTTGCATTGAATTTCTGGGACTTCTGTTTGTGGTTATTTTGAAGTGGGGGTGGGAGGACATGCCTGGGCCCACCCCGTGGTTCTTTAATGAAGACGATGGTTTTCCTTTTAAGCAAAAGAACCTTGTTTACCATTAACCAGAACTCTGGAAATAGATATTTAATCCCCAAACAGAGGTGATGGTGTGTCTAGAAGCAATTTAAAGCCTCCATAGCTTGACTAGTCACTTTATCCTGGGCAACTTTTTGGATTGTTTGGTAATCTAGAAACGAGAGAGAACGCTAATTGCTTCAACATTAAAGAAACCCACCTTCTAGACTCACTCGTTCCCCCACCCCTCCTTTATGTTTTCTTTCTTGTTCCTCTAAGAAATGAAATATAGAAGACGAAAATATAAACTGGACTACAGCAGGGTGCAGTGGTGCATGCCTGTAATCCCAGCACTTTGGGAAGGAGGATTGCCTGAGGCCAGGAGTTTGAGACTGGCCTGGGCCACATAGACCTCCTTCCTACAAAAAATTTAAAAAGTATATTTAAACCAGACTAGAAACTTTCAACCACAAAAATCCATGGGGTCATTGAGGTGCAAATGGAAAGACCAGGAGCAAAAGTAGAGGGAGCAAAAGTAGAGGGTGGGGACAGTGTGGAGGTGAGGACAGTATGGAGGTGGGGACAGGGTATGGAGGTGGAGACAATGTATGGAGGTGGAGGCGGTGGCTGAGCAGAGCAGGAAAGCTGCTGGGGGCTGTGAGGAGCTAGGTTTGGCTGGGTGACAGCAAGGGCTGGACAGAAAGTGCTTTCAGAAAAGCCCAAGGATAAAGTCCAAAGAGATTAAAGGTTAAAAAAAAAAGAAAAGCTCAGGAAGAGGAAGATGACAGGTCCCCAGGGGAAATCTGCCTAATCCAGCAGCTGGGAAGACAGGATACCCTCAGGCCCTTCCTTAGGGCAAAAGGATTACTCCGTGCAGGAAGGAAATATTACAAAGTCTTTCTTCTCTATTTTATTATTATTATTTTTTTATGAGACGGAGTTTCGCTCTTGTTGCCCAGGCTGGAGTGCAGTGGTGCAATGGTGCAATGGCGTGTTCTTGGCTCACCGCAACCTCCGTCTCCCGGGTGCAAGTGATTCTCCTGCCCCAGCCTCCCGAGTAGCTGGGATTACAGGCATGCACCACCATGCCACCACGCCTGGCTAATTTTGTATTTTTAGTAGAGACGGGATTTCTCCATGTTGGTCAGGCTAGTCTTGAACTCCCGACCTCAGGTGATCCACCCGCCTCAGCCTCCCAAAGTGCTGGGATTACAGACGTAAGCCACCGGGCCCGGCCCTTCTTCTCTATTTTTAACTCATCTTTTAAAATTGTTCTTTCTTTCTTTTTTTTTTTTTTGGAGACTGTCTCGTTCTGTTGCTCGGGTTGAAGTGCAGTGGCGCGATCTTGGCTCACTGCAGTCTCAACCTCCTGGGCTCAAGGAATCCTCCCGGCTCAGCCTCCCAAGAAGCTGGGACTATAGGCGTGTGCTGCCACACTCGGCTAATTTTATTTTTTGTAGAGATGAGGTCCCTCTGTGTTGCTCGGGCTGGTCTCAAACTCCTGGACTCAAAAGATTCTCCTGCCTTGGCCTCCCAAAGTGCCAAGATGACAGGTGTGAGCCACCACTGCTGGCCTAGATATCTATTTTTTATATGAAATTTCTATCATGTACATAATGTGTTCGTGCAATAGCACATGTATATTAGATATAGATAAACAGGTTGTTGGGGGTAGAAAAGTTTGGATATCAGATCAGAAAAGTTTGGATATCTCAGCTCAGAGCCACGATGAGAGTGGGGAGGGAGCCCGCGCTTCTCAAGCTCAAATGCCTAGGAGTCCTTTGGAGATGGCGTTCAGATGCAGATTCTTGTTCCATAGATCTGGCTGGAGCCCAAAGTTCTGCAGCTGGCGGGCTGATTCAGAAAACATGAGTTGGTGCTTTTCCTCTTTTTGCCGCCGTACTCCATTGAGAGTCTTAGTCATGGAGGGAAACCCGAAAACCACCGGTGTCCGGGACAGATACTCTGACGCATTCTCCCGGAACACCCTGGGGACTGCGAGAAAGCCCCTGCTGGCTCACTCGTTTGCTGGGATCAGTTCCCATCAGGCATGCGGCTGTGCTTCTTGGTATCGATTTGCTTCTTGGTCCCATGGCTTCTGCAGCCCACGTCGGGAGGGCAAGGTGTGGTGCAGCCTGAGAGAAGCATGCTCCTTTGCAGGAAGGAGAGGGAGGCGCACAGGCGGGCCTTTTGGAGCAGAGGAGGCAGAGGAGTCCAAGCTGGGTGCAGTTCCTCTGCTGCAGCCCTGAGCTGGGCAGACAGGACACTTCGCTGGCCTTTCCTGGCCTCATACTTGTCACTCGGTGACACTGCGACCAGTGTGAGCAAACGTTCAGAAAGCACATTTAAACACTGTTACTTAAAATTGCAACTTCACAGGGCCAGTATTCTTTTTACCATGTTCCAAATGAGGAAACCGGGGTGCTGAATGATTAAGTGACTTATCCAAGACCACAGGGCTTGCAAATGGCAAGTGGGAGGATTGTTTGAGCCCAGGAATCTGAGACCAGCCTGAGCAACATGATGAGACCCCATCTCTACAAAAAATTAAAACATTAGCTGGGTGTGGTGGCGCATACCTGTGGTTCCAGCTACTTGGGAGGCTCAGGCAGGAGGATTGCTTGAGCCCAGTAGGTCGAGGCTGCAGTGAGCTGTGATTGTGCCACTGCACTCCAGCCTGGGCCACAGAACAAGACTTCATCTCAGAAAAAAAAAAAAAAGTTCACCCAAGGCAGACAACTTGTCCAGGGAGGGCAGAGCTAGATGTTCCTGTGACTGCAGTGCTGGGGCGCATCTGTCCTCTGTCCTGAAAGCAGGCCGCTCCATGCTCATCTCCCACACCTTCACCTCCTGTTAGGCCAGCGTCCACTGCAGTGGCCCAGCTCTTCCCAGCATCCCCTTACACAGGATCTGTGTTCCCTTCATGGTTTGGCCTGCATGTCCTTCAACCTGGGACGTCCACTCTCTCTCAGTTCTGTCCTCATTGTGCCCTACTTGTCTACTTCGGGAACTCTCCTTCACCACTCACCTCACACCCTTCCTCCAGGAAGCCCTCCCTGACTTTCTAGGCAGAGTTGGAGCCCTCACCCTGGGCATTTCCACAGCAGAAACTGTCCCACCACAGCCGTTGCTGGTGGTCATGTTTGTGTTTGCCAGCAGCCCACAAGAGGTCGAGGCGCAACCTGTAGTCCTCAGCTGCTGGGGCCGGGCAGTGGTGTGCTTTCAGCCTGGAGGGGGCGCTCAGGAAGAGGTTGTCCACTTGTGTGCAGCTTTTATGTGTCCTGTGCATATGGTTACAGCACCGCTTCCTGTGAAGGAGTTGAGCTAGGGGTTGTGCTGAATGCAGAGAACAAGATACAAACTTAAAGAGGCCTAGGGTGTGGCGGGAAACACACACCCCTTCCCCCACCTATATATGCTCACGTGAAAAGGTGCAGACAAGTATTTGAGGTAGTGCAGAAAATAAATGCTTGGAGAACAGCAAGGGAGGGATGTTAGTAGACACAGAGGGAATAGACAGAGGCAAAGGGGGTTTCTGGGTCTCCAGAGATCTGGGGGGCTAGGTGCAGGAAGGCTTTTTTTGGGAGAGAAGCAGATCAGCTGCGGGGGTGCAGAGAGAGGGAGGGGAAAGGTTGCTTGAGGCCTCATTGTAGAGGACCTTCCGTGAAGCCTAAGGAGGTTGAACTTGGTCTTAGTGGCAGTCGGGAGCCAGTGATTGTTTCTGAGCAGGGGAAGAAAACCAAAGTACTGTCTTAGGAAGATGAGTCCCTGTCAGCGGAATGCGCAGTGGACGCAAACGGGAGGCGGGGAGGAAGAGATGGGGAGTGAGGGCCTGTGGTCCAGGTGCGGCATTTAGAATTTAATCCGCACAGATAGTAGGCACGGAAAGAACATAGATGATGTGTGCGGGAGTTGAGATTTGGGGATTGACCAGGTGTGGGGATTGGAGCGGCTTGAAGAGGCAAGTTCCAGTAGAAGGAGTCATTAGTCCTTACACGGTGCTCCTTACTCCAAAGCCTGTATTTTTTCTGCTGACTTCTCTGAGCCTTAGTCTCCTCTTCTGTAAAGTAACGGGCTTGGATCTCTTGTTATTTGTTCTGGACTCCTGGCACAGATCTGCTGGTTCCTTCATGCCAATGACCCAGGCCTGTTTACCAGGAGAAGCAGACATCGTGACCTTTCCCGTCCAGCCTTACAGCCTAGTTTATCAATCCAGGACAGGGGTTCTTAGAAGAGTCCTCTCTGGTAAACAATAAACAAGTGCTGTTCCGTCTGCCTCGCGGTGCCCCCACACCTGCCTGGCCACGTCACACTGGCAGATGGGACGCGGGCATCAGCTCAAGTTCTGTGGAGCGAGAGATTCCGTGGCCCGGGCTGACCTGGGCTTGGAGGCCTGGAGCTGCCTGCGGCCCCCGCCGAGAAAGCCAGGAGCTGGGGCTCGCTTGTCAGGCGTGTTTCTGTTTCTGTGGCACTGGGCCTGCTGCCCCTGGACTGTGGAGACCCAGTGACTGGCGCAGGGTGAGAGCCAGGGTTGGGACCAGTGTGCGGGCACAAAGCCCCAGAGGAAGGTGCGCTCTGGTGGCTCTGGCCCTGTGATCTCCGTGCAGCCCTCCCACGGCTCTGCTGGGGGAAGCTCTGGGGTCCCTGTGTGTGTAAAAACTCTGGGCCTGAGGAATAGCTTCTACTTTGTTTCTTTCTTTAATTTTTTTTTTTTTTTTAATACGGAGTCTCACTCTCATGTAGGCTGGAGTACAGTGGCACGATCTCGGCTCACTGCAACCTCCACCTCCCAGGTTCAAGGGGTTCTCCTGCCTTAGCCTCCCAAGTAGCTGAGATTACACCTGCCTGCCACCAGGCCTGGCTAATTTTTGTATTTTTATTAGAGATGGGGTTTCACCATGTTGGCCAGGCTGGTCTTGAATTCCTGACCCCAAGTGTTCCGTGCGTCTGCCTCCCACAGTGCTGGGGTTACAGGCGTGAGCCAGTGCCCCCAGACTGTTTTGTTTCTTTTCTTTCAAAATTAAATTGTCCCCAGCTTCTCTCCTCAAACCTCAGTTTTACCCCCTCTTTGGTTCCCATGCACAAGTAGAGAGAATATGAGGTTGTCATTTCAATGGCCATTATGACCAGAAAATTGTGAGATTGCATCTCTCAGTCTTGCTCCGTCCCCTCTCTTCTTTCCCTCCTTTCCATCATGGCACTTTGGGGCACTTTCAGGTACACAGAGTGTTGGCAATAACAGTAAATATCCTGAGGTGGGGAGCACTTGGATTTGCCTGGCATGGATTGCGTGTTTGTAGGTGGGAACTCATCCGAGTGTGGGGACCACAGTGCTGTTGTCATCCCCGTATGACAGATGGCACAGCTGGGGCACCGCAGGCGCCAACTAGCCCGGATCTCTCACTGACCAGCGCTAGGGCTGCAATAGGAACCTGGCTGGCTGGCTCCAGGGCCCGGGCTCTTATCCGGGAACAGTGTTGTTCTTATTTGCCTAGATCAACAAAGTCACTGTAGAGAAAGACAAAAACAAAACAAAATCCAAACCAAGTAAGCCAAAAAAAGCTTAGCCTGGGGACCCAGTTCTACATTTGGTGGTGGTCATAAAAGAGGCTACCCAAATGGCCCGTAAGCATAGAAAGCACTTCAACCTCCCTAATTATTCAAGAGATGCAAATTAAAGCCACGGTGAGATACTACTCCACACCTGTTTTAGTTAGAGTGGCTAACAAGAAAAAGACCACATGTTGGGGAGACTGTGACTCACACCAACTCTCATATCAGAGTAGAAATCCATACAATCATCTTGGCAGCATTTACCAGAGCCAAGCATCTGCACACAGAAGGATCCAGGAAGCCCCCGCCTTGGCGTAGACGCATGCACTCAAGGTGCACAGAAGAATGTTCACTGCGGCACCCCAACGGGTGAGAGCCCCCAAACGGAAAGAATGCAACGTTCCATCAGTGTGGAGAAGTCAAGTGTGGTGTTCGTGCAGTGGAATACTACAGAAGGATGAAGAAGAACCAGCTATTGCAGGAAGGGACACGGTGGAAGAATCTTATGGGGAAAATGCTGAGGGAAGGAAACCAGGCCAAGTAAAACAGATAGAAAGTTCAAGACCCTGCAGATCGTCTGTATCCGATGTCAAGACATGGGTTCCCTTGAGGTGGTGATGGGAGGGGGCACGGGGGTTTCTGTAGCGACCTGGTTGATGGGTGGGGGTTGCATAGGCATGCTTTCCTGTGAGGATCGTCGAGCTGTGCATTCTGAATGTATTCTATACTTCTCATTTACCTGTTTAATTGTGCAAGAGATGGGGTCTCCCTCTGTTGCCCAGGCTGGAGTACAGTGGGCCCATCATCGCTCACTGCAACCTCGAATCCTGGGCTCAAGTGATCCACCCACCTCAGCCTCCTAGGTAGCTGGGACCATAGGTGTGCGCCATCATGCCTGGCTAATTTTTAAGTTCTTTGTTGTCCAGGCTGTTCTTGAACTCCTGGGCTCAAGCAATCCTCCTGCCTTGGCCACCCAAAGCACTGGGATTACAGACTTGCACCACCACACCCGGCCTCCATGTTATATTTCCATAATATGTTTATTTGAAAAGTGACTTGGGTGCCAGGAGACATGGGCCCTCCCTAGTCCTGGCTGTCTCTAACTTGTGAGTGACTCAAGCTGTCTCCGGTTCCACTTTCTGGAAGACTAATGGCTTGGATGAGATCGTGGTTTTCAGATCTGTCCTAGCCACAGAACCCTCTCTTCAAACAAGCCCTTACCTGCAATCTGAACATAAAATGCTACCTGGTGGGACTCACGAGTGAGTTCCGGACAGGACAGGAGACGGCTGTCACTGGGCTCCAGGATGTGGGTGGCAGTGCCTGACTTCCCGCTCCTGCCTGCTGTGGGAGACGAGCTTCTTGCACTGGGGCCTGATTTCCCAGGCTGGCCTCTCAGATCCTGTGGCTTCAAGTTCTCCTGGTCATGCAGTGTCCTGGTTCAGCACTGAATTGTTCCCTAATGGTTTCCTGTGTGGCAGATTCCTTAGCTCTACAGTGAACTCTAACAGGGTAGGCTTGACCGGCTTCTGTGGTTTGCTTGGAGTAGTTAGGATGAAAATTCAGAACCTGCCTGCTGACTGAAATGGGCGTTCATGTCTTAGAATGCTCACCAGATTGCTTTTTCTCTTACACATAGTAGAGGTCAATAAAACGGAGTTTGTGGGATGTTTCTTTTCTTTTCTCTTTCTTTCTTTCTTTCTTTCTTTCTTTCTTTCTTTCTTTCTTTCTTTCTTTCTTCTTTCTCTTTCTTCCTTTCTTTTCTTTCTCTTTCTTTCTTTCTTTCTTTCTTTCTTTCTTTCTTTCTTTCTTTCTTTTTCTTTTCTTTCTCTCTCTCGCTCTCTCTTTCCTTTCTTTTTCTTTTTTTTTTTTGAGACGGAGTTTCACTCTTGTTGCCCAGGCTGGAGTGCAATGGTGCGATCTCGGCTCACTACAACCTCTGCCTCCCGGGTTCAAGCAATTCTCCTGCCTCAGCCTAACAAGTAGCTGGGATTACAGGTGCCCGCCACCATGCTGAGCTAATTTTGTTTTGTATTTAGTAGAGACGGGGTTTCACCATGTTAGGCTGGTCTCGAACTCCCGACCTCAGGTGATCTATCCGCCTTGGCCTCCCAAAGTTTGGGATTACAGGTGTGTGCCACCGTGCCTGGCCAGGATGTTTCTGATGCAGGGATAAGGTGGGGAACTTGGGAAATGGTGTACACCACTGACGGCCTGGGGCACATGGGGTGGACACACTGGGAGTGGATACCTGAGGTGGGCACGTGGGGTGGACACGTGGGTGTGAGTGGTCACCTGAGGTGCACACGTGAGGGTGGATATCATGAGGGTGGCTGTCAAGAGGGTGGATGCTGGTTCAGGGCTGGCATGAAGACCCTAGTCAGGAGGGAGCCAAGGCGTCCAAGGAGGCCCTCAGGCTGCAAGTGTTGGTTTGGCCCCAGTCTTGGTGATGACAGGACCTTTGGGAATCTGAAGCCCGGTGACCTTGGGCTGTGGGGAGCTGGCGGGCTTTATCTGCCCAGCGTCTCTGCCCCAGTTTTGGGCCTGTCTGTGATGCTGGGCACCTGCTGATGTGCGCAGCTTCATTCATTCCTCCTCCACTCACCCACCTGACCACTGTGTGGGGCGCCCCTGCTGTGGGCCAGGCTGGTTCCAGGGTCCATCAGCAACAGAAACAAAAATGCCCTGTCCTCTTGGGGAGACACAACCAGCAACAAGAGAACAGCGAAGGAGGCGTAGGACATGCGGCTGATATGGGCTTAGGGGAAACGCAGGCAGGAGAGGGGGCTGCAAGCTCAGGCGGGAGCTTTGGGGCCAGGAAGGCCTGGCTCAGAGGGGACTTGGGTCAGGGTCACAACAGGGAGGTGAAGCCACTGACCCGGAGCTGCTGGAGAGCTTCCGGGATGGACAGAGTCCGCCCCACGGGTCCCTCCTGCCCTCCCTCGGTGCCTGCCCTGGGCCGTGGAGATGACTGGGGAGCAGCTGGGCGTTATTTTCCCCGGGGCCAGGGTGGGCATCTCGGCCTCGAGTTGATCTGAAAGGATTTACTGCTGTCAGAGCCACCCCATCGTGTGCAGCACGGACTGGGGGGGATTTGAAGGCAGAGGGCCTGGGGTGTGTCCAGCCCCACCTGCCCCTCGGCCCCAATCTGCTTCTGGAGAGTGGCCTGGCTGAGCCGGGACGCAGCGCACTGGTCCCTACCTTGGAGGCCTGACTCCCTTGAGAAGTGTCCCCAACCCAGTTCCCGTCTCACTACCAGCCACCACCTCCCCAGCACGGGGTCCTCCGCAGGTGATTTCATCTCTGAGGCGGCTTTCTTATCTCTGGAAGAGCAGTACTATCTCCCTGGTGGAGTCGTTCTAAAAATGAAAGGCAATGTGTTCAAAGTGCCCAACACGTGCCTGCCGTATTCAATAAAAGGGAGCTAGTATTCATTTAACAGCTGAGAAGAAAAACAGTGAACACTTCTTGAGCTCTGTTTATCTGCCTTGTTTTACTGGAGGAGAAAGTGGGGCACAGAGAAATTCAGTTATTGGTCCGAGGTCACACAGCGTGTGAGTCGGGAAGGAAGGGGCAGCTGGAATTTGAACCTGGCAGTCTGGCTTCCCTCTGGGGAAGAGCAGTGGATGAGGGCGAAGCCGACAAGAGCCCAAACTCATCTGCGCTGCGCTGCTTTTGAGCCACACAAATCCAAATAAGGGATCATCCAAATCCTTTATTTTCTCTCGAAGTTTTGTGATCATTAATCAGTTAACAGCTTGTTCCCTTCTGTGCTGGACAACCCCCAGCTGCAAGGGGCAGGAATGGAGCATGGGGGAGGCTGTAAAATAGATCACTCAGGCGTTTCCCTAGCGAGCCCCCCGGGAATGAACAGAAGGGTTTCTCTCCTATGGTGGGATGTTGCTGTCCATGGGGGTCGTCGAAGGACGGGTGTGGAGGCCCAGGAGGACTGCAGGCAAGAGGGGAGAAAAGGAAGAACCCGTCTCCCCTCAACTGGATCATCATGGGCTGTGTTGCACTGGTAAACCAAGGTGCCAAGGCTGCGGCAGCTCAGATGGGAAGGGGACCCTGTTTTCTGAGCATGCAGACGCCAGGATTATAGGACATTCTGCCAGGCACAGAAACCACGAGAGCCCACCTTCCCCAAAGGCTGCTGGCTCCAAAGTGGGGAGGGAGTGGTTGTTCCCAGGTGATAAGTGATGAGAAGACCGTTGAGCCCCCAGAGTGACACCCAAGCATGTAACTAACTCGAGACCAGGAGCATCCACTGACAAACGCCCGGTGAGGTCGATCCTGGTGACAGGATCCAGGTGCTAGTCGGGTCCTGAGTCGAGTTGCTGGACTCGCAGCATTTAACCATTCAAAATAACCAGCTTTAAAAATGTGTGTGGGCCAGGCTCGGTGGCGCTCGCGTGTAATCCCAGCACTTTGGGAGGCCAAGGCAAGAGGATTGCTTGAGCCCAGGAGTTTGTGAGCAGCTGGGCAACATAGTGAGACCCTGTCTCTAAAAGAAAAAAAAAATGCTGTAATTGACATTCTTTTTAATGGATGGATGGAGGAATGAATGAATGATTGCTTTGCAAGACAGCATGAACCTCAGGTTCCAGAGTCAGGCTTAAAGCAATCAGATTGAGGGGGACCATGTAATATTTTTTCCTAACATTAACAACAGGCTTATTGTACAAAGGACAGGAAAATATGAAGAAAGAAATCATTCATAATTACATAGCAGAATAGCCATTGTTAACATTTCAATTTTCTTCAAGTTTTTTCTTTTCTTTCCTTTGGTTTTGTTGCTGTTTTGTTTTGTTTTTTGACAGAGTCTCCCACTTTGCCCAAGCTGGAGTACAGTGGCTCAGCCGTGGCTCACTGCAGCCTCAAACTCCTGGGCTCAAACAATCCTCTTGTGTCAGCCTCCTGAGTAGCTGAAACTACAGGTGTGCTTCACCACACCTGGCTAATCTTTAAATTTTTTGTAGAGATGGGGTCTTGCTATGTTGTCCAGGCTGGTCTCAAACCCCTGGCCTCAAGCAGTCCTCTCACCTCACCTTCCAAAGTGCTGAGATTACAGGTGCAAGCCACCGTGCCCTAGGTTATTTTAATATAGTTTATCACCAATGTATGCAATTCTGTGTTCTGAGTGCTTTACTTTTAATGACCCAAACTAAGATGTTCTACTCTGTGTGTTAGTTCTCTGGCAAGTAGCAGAATTGTGGTATGTGTTCCTAAAACTAAGATGTATCCTGATCACGTGACAGAGGCTGATACCTCTTTAAAAGATAAAGTTTGGAAGTGAAACAGAGACTAGAACAGATATTTGTCACACCCATGTTCTATTTTATTTTCATTTGTAATTATTTTAGAGACAGAGTCTGGCTCTGTCGCTCAGGCTGGAGTGCAGTGGTGCAGTCATAGTACACTGTAACCTCAAACTCCTGGGCTCAAGCTATCGCCCCACCTCAGCCTCCCAAGCAGCCAGTACTGTAGGTGTGTGCCATCACACCTGACTAGTATTTCCAAAAAAATGTTTTGTAGAGATAAAGTCTTGCTGTGTTGGCTCTGCTGGTCTCAAACTCCTGGCCTGGAGTGATCCTCTAGTCTCAGCCTCAGTAGCTGGGATTATAGTCATGAGCCTCTGCACGCAGCCCACGCCCATGTTTATATCAGCATTATTCACAGTAACAAAGAGGTGGGAGCAACCCAAGTTCCATGGAGGGATGAACAGATAAGCAAAATATGGCCCATCCACACAGTGGAATATTATGCAGCCTTAAACAAGAAGGAAATGCTGACATATGCTACAACATACATCAGCCCTGAAGACAATGTTCTGAGTGAAATAAGCGAGACATAAAAAGACAAATACTGGCTGGGTGCAGTGGCTCACGCCTGTAATCCCAACACTTTGGGAGGCTGAGGCGGGAGGATTGGTTCAGTCCAGGAGTTCAAGACCAGCCTGGGAAACATAGCGAGGCCTCACTGCAGGGTGTGGTGGGACACATCTGTGGGCCTAGTTACTCAGGAGGCTAGGGTGGGAGGATCACTTGAGCCCAGGTGCTCAAGGCTGCAGTGAGCCAAGATTGTGCCACTGCACTCCAGCCTGGGCGATAGAGTAAGACTCCGTTTAAAAAAAAAAAAAAAAAAAAAAAGACAAATACTGCATGATTCCACTCATATGCGATCTCTAGAAGAATCACACTCACAGAGACAAAGTAGAATGGAGGTGGCCAGGGGCTGGGGAGGGAGAATGGGGAGCTGGTGTTTAAATGGGGACACAGTTTCCATTGGAGAAGATGGAAAAATTCTGGAGCTGGATGGTAGCGATGGCTGCATAACACTGTGATTGTGCTTACTGCCCTGAACTGTGTGCCTAAAGATGGGGAAAATGGACAATTTTATGTATGTTTTGCTACAATAAAACAAAAAGCAAAAGATAAGAGTTGGAGCTGAGGTCCCTGGCTTCTGGCCTCCTCAGTCTTGGCGGATTCTTCCTCCCTGTCTCCCCAAGTTTTCTCTCTAATCCCTCACCTGGCTTTTCTGGGCAAAGGCCAGCCCGCTTCTCACCACCCCCTTCTCTCTTGCATATGCATCCCCCCAACATTCACACAGAAGCACGCACACACACACCCCTTGAGGTCTAGACTGGGGGTCTGGGTGCAGGAGGGTCTGAGCTGGGAGACCTCCCCACTGCAGCAGCAGTGTCACAAACAAGTTGTCCTGCACCTAAGACTAATCTGGAGTGGAGGCTGGGAAGGAAGCGGTCCTGGTGCTGCCGGCAGCCTTTCCATCCTAGGGCCGAGCTGGCTGGGGAGAATGAGGGGCCTTTGAAGTCCCAGGCCGATCCCTTCGCCAGACCTCCCAGGCCAGGTCTCCACGCCAGCACTGTGTTTCATCACAAGTGCAAAGCTTCCAGCAGAGCAGTAGGTCCCGAGCGGGAGTGCCGGGATGTGGCCTCGAGGCCCCCGCCTGTCATTGTCTCCCAGCCTCAGGCCCTGTTCCCCTTCTAGGCTTGTGCCACACCAGGCTAAGAATCAGAGCCTGGGTGTGGGGGCAGGGGGAGCTGGAGGAGCGGGCAGGACTGCCCAGTGCTTTCCTGGCTTAGCTGGGCGAAATCCAAATGCAGTGAAGTTCGCCTTGCAGTCCAGTGTCCATGGCCAGGGCAGGAGGGCAGAGGGCTGAGCCTCTGCCAGACAGAGCAGTGCCCTTCCCAGCCCCCCAGGGTCTTCACTTGCTTCACAGAGGGTCAGCTGGAAGGACTATGGGGCCCCACAGACCCACCTGTCGCCACAGGTTGAGAACATGGATGGGGCGGTGCCCAGCACGGTCCCTGGCTCCAGGACACAGTGCACAGCCACAGCCCATACACGCCCCAGCCCCAAACCTAGGAGACTTGGTCCTTCTGTGTCACACCTCTGTTCTCCCTGGAGTTGCAGGGGATTTTCTCTGGAAACTACCTAGTAGTTTAGGGTCCTAAGAATTTATCCAATCTTCTTTCAGAAGATCACCCAGTTCTTCATTCTCAAAAACAAAGCACAAAGACTTTGAACAGCTGCGGAATGGCTTGTCATAAGCCACACAGGAGAAAAGTCCGCAGGCCCAGCACCACGCCAACTTTGGGGTTGGCTTATTCTAGAATCTAGACTATTTTTTTGCTCACAAATTATCTCTAAAACACCTCCAGCTCCACTAGGATTCTGTTTACTAACTGCTTCCTGTGCACCTGTCTCATTTCCTCAACAAGGAATAGAATGCTTGCAGTCAGGTGCCCCAGCCCCACCAGCCTGAAGCTGGGCTTGTAGCTGGCACCATGGTAGGTGGCAGTGAAAACTGGAGTCTGGCCTGGTGTGGTGGCTCATGCCTGTAATCCCAGCACTTTGGGAGGCTGAGGCAGGTGAATCACCTGAGGTCAGGAGTTCGAGACCAGCCTGGTCAAAAAAAAAAAAAATATATATATATATATATGTATATAAATAATATATAAATAATTACATGTATAGTTTTGAAAGCAGGAATTTTTTTTTTAATTTTTTTTTTTGAGACAGAGTCTCGCTCTGTCACCCAGGCTGGAGTGCAGTGGCGTGATCTCGGCTCACTGCAAGCTCTGCCTCCCGGGTTCACGCCATTCTCCTGCCTCAGCCTCCCAAGTAGTTGGGACTACAGACAACTGCCACCACGCCCGGCTAATTTTTTTTTATATTTTTAGTAGAGACGGGGTTTCACCGTGTTAGCCAGGGTGGTCTTGATCTCCTGACCTCGTGATCCACCCGCCTCGCCCTCCCAAAGTGCTGGGATTACAGGTGTGAGCCACCGCGCCTGGCCTCAAAGCTGGAATCTTTACATGACAGGCATGAGCATCACTGGAGATGCTTTTTGTTTTTTATTTTATTTTATTTTATTTTTGAGACAGAATCTTGCTCTGTTGCCCAGACTGGAGTGCAGTGGTGCCATCTCGGCTCACTGCAATCTCCGCCTTCTGGGTTCAAGTGATCCTTGTGCGTCAGCCTCCCGAGTAGCTGGGGTTGTAGGTGCCCACCACCACGCCCGGTTAATTTTTGTATTTTTAGTAGAGACGGGGTTTCGCCATGTTGTCCAGCCTGGTCTCGAGCTTCTGACCTCAGGTGATCTGCCTGCCTCAGCTCCACAAAGTGCTAGGATTACAGGTGTGAGCTACCACACCCAGCCTGGAGAAGCTTTTTAAACATTGCACCCCCAAAAGCCCCATCCTGGCAATTCTGGTTTAATCGGTCTGGGATGGGGTTGACACAATGGGTAGTTTTGAAGTTCCTTGGTGATTCTTTTTTTTATTTTGTATTTTTTGAGATGGAGTCTCACTCTTGTCACCCAGGCTGGAGTGCAATGGTGTGATCTCGGCTCACTGCAACCTCTGCCTCCCAGGTTCAAGTGATTCTCCTGCCTCAGCCTCCTGAGGAACTGGGATTACAGGCTCCCACCACTGTGCCTGGCTAATTTTTGTATTTTCAGTAGAGACGGGGGTTTTACCACGTTGGCCAGGCTGGTTTCGAACTCCTGACCTCAGGTGATCCACCTGCCTCGGCCTCCCAAAGTGCTGGAATTACAGGTGTGAGTCACCGCGCCTGGCCTTTTTTTTTTTTTTTTTTAAGAGAGCGTGTTTAGCTGTGTTGCCCAGGCTGGTCCCAAACTCCTGGGCTCAAGTGATCCTCCCATCTCGGCCTCCCAAAGTGTTGGGGCTACAGGCGTGAGCCAGCCTGCCGGCCTTCCTCATGGCTCTTACGTGCCACAGGTATTGAAAGCCACTGATCTCCACCATGGTCAGACTTAGCCATCAGCTTCGCACGTTCACTCTTTTTCTCTCCCCAGATTATTTAACAAGTTAGCCTGGATCTCAATTTATTGAAACCCGACACAAAAACCCTGATTTAAATAACCAGGAGGCCCAGTTATTTCCATGAGGACACTAGAGGAAGAAGCACTAGGGTGACCACGGCACGCCCCACGAGGGCCTCTGTGGCCTTGAGACACATCACTCTCTGCCCACAAGGACTCTCAGCTCTTTCTCTGCTCCTCTCCTTTGATCCCTCTGCTGGGGGTGGATTACAGAAAGAACTGCTGGCTTCCTCCGTAATCTCTTTACAAGGCCCCTTGGGGTGGGCCGTTCCGAGCTGGTTCCACTCATCCGCTTACTCACAGTGGCAGGAGGGTTAGCCACTAAGCTGTTTATCAGTCATTGATAACTTCACATGAGGCTTACATTCTTTTCTGAAAACACGTTTTCACAAGGATGGAGAGAACACACCATAGAAACAGGCCACTGCGGGGGCGAGGAGACGGCAGAGGGACGCCAGGGTCTCCCATCGGCTCACCTCTGGTCTCGCCCCTCTTCCACCGGGTGCTGCTGGACCTGTGGTCCAGCCAGGGGCTCATCTGGGTCACTACCTGGCACTCAGGCCCTCACCCAGTTATACCAGATCAGTACTTCCTCCCCGCTCCTTTTTTTTTTTTTTTTTTGAGATGGAGTTTCACTTTTGTCACCAAGGCTGGAGTGCAATGTGAGATTTCGGCTCACTGCAACCTCTGCCTCCTGGGTTCAAGCGATTTTCCTGCCTCAGCCTCCCGAGTAGCTGGGATTACAGGCACCCACCACCACGCCCAGCTAATTTTTGTATTTTTAGTTGAGACAGGGTTTCGCCATGTTGGCCAGGCTGGTCTTGAACTCCTGACCTCAGGTGATCCACCTGCCTCAGCCTCCCAAAGTGCTGGGATTACAGGCATGAGCCACCGCGCCTGGCCCCTGTCCTCCAGTTTTAAGAACTCGAGCCCCTCTCCCAGTGGTATAAAGTCTTGCTGATAGGGAAGAGCAGGAACCTTGGTGGCCCAGTAGAACTACTGGTGACCCTGGCTGTCAGAGATAGAGCAAGGCCAGAATAGGAAGGTGATTGGTGGTGTTTTCGGTGGTATATGATGGAGAAATGATTAGAAATAAAACTATTTTGTTTTTTATTTTAATATTAATATTCTAATTAGAAAGTTTGTATTAGCATTTTAATGATATTCATAATATACTTCATAGTTAGGGATGCTTTTGGCTGTAAGTAACTGGATACTGGACCAGCAGTGGCTTAACTCCATGGAACTAATCACACGACCACATCCTGTGGCATCCTCAGCAAAGGGGTAGATGGGCCCAGTGATGACTCATTCCTGTGGATGGAATGGAAAATAACTTTTTCTGAAACTGGGAGTCTCTGTCTCCCTCCATTAGCCAATCAAGGTTCATTCAGCTGAGCAGTGTGGAGTGGTCGCAGGTATACCAGTGAACAGTGCCCCCACATAAAGTGAAATTCACCTTCACCTTTCTTTTACTATTACTACATGCTATTTAGTTATCAGGGGAAACTGAATTTGTCACAGATCATTTCAAGAATGGCACTGTGTATGTGGATTGGAGATTAAATGTATAAACATCATGGTCTTGTCTGGCTGCAAAGTGTAGTATCTTTTCTCGCTCTTAAACAATTTCTCATTTTTTGTAGAGATGGGGTCTTGCTATGCTGCCCAGGCTGGTCTCAAACTCCTGGTCTCAAGCCATCCTCCCACCTCAGCCTCCCAAAGTGCTGGGATTACAGGTGTGAGCCACTGCACCTAGCCTTTATTCGTTCTTTTTGTAATAAAAGGCTATGTTTTAGAAGGTGCTTGTTGAAAAAGTATGTTATAGGAAGAAGATACTGTGGCTGAGACTGCTAGCATCCCCCAATACCCCTTCTCCTTGCTTCCTCAGTAGCAGAATCCCAGGCAGTTGCCCAGCTCAGAGGCTATGTTGCCTCCCTGCATTTGCGGGGAGGTGTGCCGCCACGACTGAAGCTGGCAGGGGAGACCAATGTGGAAGTGCGGTGTGGGCTTCTGAAAAGTTGTCTCGAAAGTGAAAAGGCAGCCGGGCGCAGCGACTCATACCTGTAATCCCAGCATTTTGGGAGGCCAAGGCGGGCAGATCACTGAAGGTTGGGAGTTCAAGACCAGCCTGGCCAACATGGTGAATCCCTGTTTCTACTAAAAAAAAAAAAATTAGCTGGACATGGTGGTGGGTGCCTGTAATCCCAGCTACTTGGGAGGCTGAGGCAGGAGAATTGCTTGAACCAGGGAGGTGGGGGTTGCAGTGAGCTGAGATTGCACCACTGCACTCCAGCCTGGGCCACAGAGTGATACTCCGTCTCAGAAAAAAAAGTGAAAAGGCAAGGGCCTTTTTGTCCTATCTCACTTCGCCTTACTGCCAGTAGTAGCTTGGTATTTAAATAGTGTAACAGGTGCAGTGTGGTTTATATTACGCTGTCTCATGTACAGTAAGTGATGAGATGGGAGAAGTTTAGACAACTGCTCTAGGCTGCGTCTCTACAAATTACTCATTTCACGTTGGGCAGGTCTTTCGTTGTCAGCAAATGGAAAGTCAAATTAAATGTATTTGTCATTATCTTTCAGCATTGGTGTTTGAAATATTAGTGATGTCTTGATTCATTGTTTATTCAAAATAGAATTTTTAGCTGCCATGGGTTTAAAAAAGGTAAGAATTTTGCTCAGAAGTGTGCACCTTCCGAAACTGAGGATCATCCTTTTGAGGTGAATGTGCAGAATTATTAGCATTTATACTTCTCATGAACTTTAACATTTCTGAGTTTTAGCTGTTTTGAAATAATTCCAGACTTAATAGAAAAGTTGCAGAAATAGTGCAAAGTGTTCCATAGCACTCTCACCTAGATTCTGCAAGTGTTACCATTTGACTCCTCTATCATTCTCTCCCTCTCCATTTCTATCTATCTATCTATCTATCTATCTATCCATCCATCCATTTACCTACCTACATATATATATATATATATCTGCCTCATAAAGAGGAAGAGAAAATATATTTATATGGATATATGTGTGTACGTGTGCGTGTGTGTGTGTCTGAAGACAGAGAGAAATATATGTCGTGCCCAGCCCCTATTTTTTTTTCTGAACCATTTGAGAGTTAGACGCAGACATGATGCCCTTTTGTCCCTAAGTACTTCAGGGTGTATTTCCTCAAAACGAGCACAGTATCATGATTGAAATCAGGATATCAACACTGATACAGTTCTGTTATCTAATATGCAAACTTCAAGTCTCACCAATTTTCCCACTACTGCTCTTTACCTTTAGCAAAATCAAGAACAACATTTAGAGTGATTCAAGGTTTCATCCAGGCTCACAAGCCTTTCATCTAGTGTGTCCTCAATCTTTGCTGCCTCTCATGGCCTTTGTATTTTTGAAAAGTGCAGGCACTGATTTTTTTTTAAACATTTTTTTTCAAAAGTTTAAAATGCGATAAAAATGTGTGACACAAAATCTACCATCTTAATCATTTTTAAATGTGTACAGTTCAGTAGTGTTAGATGTATTCACGCCATTGTGCAATAGATCTCTAGAACCTTTTCATCTTATAAAACTGAAACTCTGCACCCAATAAACAACAATTCCTAATTTCCCCCACCGCCTGCCCCTGACGTCCCCCGTTCTGCTTTCTGTTTCTGTGAATCTCTTGTAGTGACCTTGTGTAAGTGGAATCATACGGTGTTTTTCTTTCTATATCTGGCCTGCTTCGCTTAGCAAAAAGTCCTTAAGGTTGACCTCTGGTGTAGCTCTGACGGATTTCCTTCCTTTTAATTTTTTTTTTTTTTTTTTTTTTTTTAGACGGAGTCTCGCTCTGTCCCCCAGGCTGGAGTGCAGTGGCGCGATCTCGGCTCACTGCAAGCTCCGCCTCCCAGGTTCACGCCATTCTCCTGCCTCAGCCTCCCGAGTAGCTGGGACTACAGGCGCCCGCCACCTTGCCCGGCTAATTTTTTAAAAAAATTTTTTAGTGGAAACGGGGTTTCACTGTGTTAGCCAGGATGGTCTCGATCTCCTGACCTCGTGATCCGCCCGCCTTGGCCTCCCAAAGTGCTGGGATTACAGGCGTGAGCCACCGCACCTGGCGATTTCCTTCCTTTTTAAGGCTAATATTCAATTGTCTGTAAATTCCACATTTGGCTCATGCATTCCATCTGTCGATGGACACTTTGGTTGCTTTACCTGTTTGCTATTGTGAATGATGCTGCAATGGGCATACGTGTGCACGTATCTCTTCCAGAGTCAGGTCACTTATTTTTTAGAATATCCCTAATTTTTTTAGAATATCCTTAGTTTTTAGAAAATAAGGTCACTTATTTTTTAGAATTTTTTAGAATATTTAGAACTTGGGTCCATCTGTTGCTTCTTCCTAATTAGCTTTAGGTTCTGTGTGTTTGTCAGGGATGCTCGAGTAGTAGTGATGTGCCTGTCACAGACCAGACTGCTGATGGTGAGGTTCACTTTTTTTTTTTTTTTTTTTTGGGAGACAGTCTCGCTCTGTCACCCAGGCTGGAGTGCAGTGGCGCGATCTCTGCTCACTACAACCACCACCTCCCAGGTTCAAGCGATTCTCCTGCCTCAGCCTCCCGAGTAGCTGGGACTACAGGCATGCACCACCAAGCCCAGCTAATTTTTGTATTTTTAGTAGTGATGGGGTTTCACCATGTTGGACAGGCTGGTCTCGAACTCCTGACCTCAAGTGATCCGCCCGCCTCGGCCTCCCAGAGTGCTGGGATTACAGGCGTGAGCCACTGCACCTGGCTTGAGGGTAACTTTATCACTTGCTTAAAGATGGTGCCCGCCAGTTTTCTCTACTATATGGTCACTATTTTGTCCCTTTGTGATAAGTAAGGATTCTGTGGGGAGATATTTTGAGTCTCTGCAAATATCTGTTTTTATTTTTTATTTTTGAGATGGAGTCTCGCTTTGTCATCCAGGCTGGAGTGCAGTGGTGTGATCTCGGCTCACTGCAACCTCTGCCTTCCGGGTTCAAGTGATTCTCCTGCCTCAGCCTTCCGAGTAGCTGGGATTACAGGCACCCATGACCACGCCCAGCTAATTTTTGTGTTTTTAGTGGAGATGGAGTTTCACCATGTTGGCCAGGCTGGTCTTAAACTCCTGGCCTCAAGTGATCCACCCGCCTTGGCCTCTCAAAGTGCTGAGATTACAGGCGTGAGCCACCACGCCCAGCTGCAAATATCTTGTTTGTTATCAAGCTTCCACCCACTCGGTGATTCTTGTGTGAAACAATTATTCCTGCAGTGATTACCCAGGGATGACCTACAGATTCCGTCGTTCCTTCTGTACTTATTTGTTGATATTCTACTCTAAGGAAAAGCTTTCCCATCTCCTACATGCATTCATTCATTCATTGTATCCACAGTTGAGTGGATTCATGTGTTCCTATGTTTCTCTGGGTTTTAGTCTATTACTATCATTATTCATTTTGTTGTTCACATTGTACAGGATTTTGGGTGCAGTGGCTCATGCCTATAATCCAGCACTTTGGGAGACTGAGGCAGGGGGGACTGCTTGAGGCTGGGAATTTGAAACCAACCTGGGCAACATCGTGAGACCCCATCCCTACAAAAAAACAAAAACAAAAACAACAGATTGTACCAGATTTGGCCAGTGGGGAACCCTTTAGAATAGGCTCGTGTGTTTCTTGATATATCCACATCATCTTCCCATTAACTTCTATTTCAACATCAGGGTTTTCTGTGCCTCATGTCTCTATTTATTTCGGAGATAGGGTCTTGCTCTGTCACCCAGGCTGGAGTGCAGTGGTGCGATCTTGGCTCAGTGCAACCTCCGCCTCCCCGGTTCAAGGAATTCTGGTGCCTCAGCCTCCTGAGTAGCTGGGATTATAGGCGTCTGCCAACATGCCCAGCTAATTTTTGTAGTTTTTGTAGAGATGGAGTTTCTCCATATTGGCCAGGCTGGTCTTGAACTCCTGGGCTTAAGCGATCCTCCCAGTTCTTCGGCCTCTCAAAGTGCTGGGATTACAAGGGTGAGCCACGACACCCAGCCAACTTCCTGTCTTTCAACAGTGATCAATTGTGGGTATACATGACATACGAAATAACAAAGATTAAATCTATTTCAAGCTGTCAAGTGGCCGAACACCGAAGGCTGCCACAGGAAAATTATTTAAAGATACATTTGTTAAAAATACGTTGATTGATTAAGAAGTTAGAAATTGAAACAGAACTATTTCTACTTAGGGTGTGAACCCCATATCACACTCTGAATCCCCACCAGCAGGGACCGCTCAAGACCCGTTGCGTGCCAAGGGTCTTGACAAAGGAATGTCCCACCCAATCTAGGGCTCCTAGCCCCTGGACTACCCAACTTGGTCAAATGTATGCCTCACTGTTCCATCAGCGGTTTCACTTAATATAGCAGTTCTAGACTCAGAGACTTTTACACAGAGAACCCCGAGATCATTCTGAACTTGAGGTGCAGGACAGTGCATTGTGCAAAGTCACAGAGTTGCTGAGAGGTAGAGCTGGGATGGGGGCTCGGGCCCCCCCTAGAATCACAGGATCCTTACGTCCAGGGCTAGTCAGAAGCCAGCGAGTTTGAGTCGCAGCTGTTGGGGAAGTCCCTCTGGAATGGTTTCGACAGGTAGGATCTGGCTGCTGCATTTGCCGTCCCTCTGGCCCACCGCTGTCCACTGTACAGAGAAGGCATCTCTTTCTACCTTCAAATCAGCATCTGGTTTCTGTTCACAGGAGCAACGCGATGCACGACAACCCCCGCGCCTTCGTCAGTGGCTCTAACTCCTGTCACAGCCTTGTTCCTTCTCCCTGTCTCGCTCTTTAGCCGTTTCTCGTAGGGATGGTGTCCAGGTGGCTCGGACACCCTGGTCGCCGTTCTCTGGGGGTAGATGAGTTTATGAAGACCAAATTGGATATGAGCAAAAGCACTCTTGGTAAAATTGTATTCAATCAATCCCTAGATGAGTATTTTTTTTAACTATCCAGGCCCACCCCAGATGTCTGAATAGATTTCTTCTGATCTTGGCTACTCTGTGATTTGGCCTTCACTCCTTGATTTACCCAGCAGAGTCAATGACATTCCCCAATACACACACACACACACACACACACACACACACACACACACACACAGCTTTCTGAGGAGGAGTACACAGAAGGGAACACGATCCAGTCTCAACACTGGCGATGACAGACCGTCCCATTCTCTCATATGAACCCTACACATTGATCCAGCCCAGCCTGGAGGTTTCCTAACATCTCGTCAGCAGCTAGCATCGCTGTCCAAAACCTGCCCGTTTTTTTTTTCTTTCTTCTTTTTTTTTTTTTTTTTTGGCTTGATTTGGCTCTATTTTTAGAATGTTTTCCACTGGGAGAAGGAAGAAATATGAG
The DNA here is from genome assembly GCF_000001405.40 of Homo sapiens. Lineage (NCBI taxonomy): Eukaryota > Metazoa > Chordata > Mammalia > Primates > Hominidae > Homo > Homo sapiens. The sequence continues at coordinate 6,192,443 of NC_000010.11, forward strand.
GGGAACAGAGCAGGGAGAGGTGCCAGCTGTGGCTTGCCAGCCTAGGGTTGCTCCGTGGCATGTGTTTACACTGCAGTCATGGGCCGGCCTTGCCTGGCCCCTGCGGGTCACCCGGGCATGCTTCCCATACCCAGCAGAACGTGATCTGGGTTCCAGTTTCTGTTCTCCCTAGTCCTGGGTTAGGAAACTCAGTTGTTTTGACATTGACTCTTCCCCTCACCCGTGTGTGTGTGTGTGTGTGTGTGTGTGTGTGTGTGTGTGTGTGTGTGTTGGGGGATGTCACTGATCTGCTGGGGAAACCAAGGGGTGAAGACCAAATCATAGAGCAGCCCAGATCAGAGGGAATCTATTCAGACATCTGGGGTGGGCTTGCACAGTTACAAAAAGTGCTCATCCAGGGATTGGTTGACCTAATACTTTATAGTTTTTCCAAAAGTGCTTTTGCTCATATCCAGTTTGGTCTTCGTAAGGACCTCTTGAGGTAGATGGGGCTGCTGTTCTCATTCTACAGATGATTTTACTGTGAATGGCTGTCTGTCCACCTCAGAGCCCTGCAGGATTTATGGAAGCTGCTTCCAGCTTCTTATGTGAGCCAGTACTCGCTCCTACTTAGGATTATATATTGAGGTTGGACATGGTGGCTTATGCCTGTAATCCCATCACTTTGAAAGGCAGGAGATTTGCTTGAGGCCAGGAGTTTGAGACCAGCCTGGGCAGCATAATGAGACCCCCTGTCTCTACAAAAACAAAAGATAGAAATTAGTTGAGTGTGGTGGCATGCGCCCATAATCCCAGATACTCGGGAGGCTGAAGTGGGAGGACAGTTTGAGCCCAGAAACTCTAGGCTGCACTAGAGTTTGTGTGATTGCACCACTGCACTGCAGTCTGGGCAACAGAGCCAGACCCTGTCTCAAAAAAACAAAACAAAACAAAACAAAAAAGTATTGTGTATCCATTAGTTGAATCGCTGCAAAGGTAAACATTCATTCATTCATTAAGCAAGCATAGATTGAACACCTTCTCCATGTCGGACACTGTGGTAGGATCTGGTGATTCAAAGATGAACAGCTGTCCCTGTTTCTAAGTTGCCTGTAGTCCAGTGATTACTCTCAGGTTTCTGTCTCAGGTGTCCGTGTGGAGAGACTGCCAAACAGGCTTTATGTGAGCAACAAGGCTGTTGATTTCACCTGGGTGCAGGCGGGCTGAGTCCAAAAAAGGAGTCAGCAAAGGGTGGTGGGATTATCATTGGTTCTTATAGGTTTTGGGATAGGCGGTGGAGTTAAGAGCAATGTTTTGGGGGCAGTGGGTGGATCTCAGAAAGTACATTCTCAAGGGTGGGGAGAATTACAAAGAAACTTCTTAAGGGTGGGGGAGATTGTAAAGAACCTTCTTAAGGGTGGGGGAGATTACAAAGTACATTGATCAGTTAGGTTGGGGCAGAAACAAATCACAATGGTGGAATATCATCAGTTAAGTCGATTTTCACTTCTGTGAATCTTCAGTTGCTTCAGGCCATCTGGATGTATATGTGCAGGTCACTGGGGATATGATGGCTTAGCTTGGGCTCAGAGGCCTGACAGTTTCTATTAATATTTGTATTTCATTGAGAACAATGGGAACCATTGGTGTCTGCCATTTGGGAAGTGGAAGAGATGCTTAGACAGATAAGGGAGCAGAGGTCTAGACGAGGTGTAGAGAGGGTCAGAAACCAGGTTGGGGTTCCTAACTCCCAAGCCACGTCCCCAGCCACCTACCGCAGTCACTGTCTTGCCCTCCCATTCCTATTGGATAAAAGCTTTGGAGATAAGACAAGCCTGGTTCATCACGGTTGAGTCTCTAAACCTAGATATGCAGAGGTTCCCTGGAATTGCTTCTTGAGTCCCTGATTAATTCAGCTCTTGACATCACAAGATGAACTCACTCTTTGGTGAATTGCACAGACTTTTGAAAACTATGTTTCCGCTGCGCTAAAGTCTAGGAGCGGGCTCCTTAGCCTGAAGGATGCCTGTTTCAATGGGACGTGACAGCTGCTTTCAAACATTTAAGGGCGAGCACCTGTTGTTGGAGGGGGATGCAGGCTTAACCCATGTGCAGCAACAGAAAGAGACAAGGGGGCATTTCCAGGAAGATCAACTCAGCTTAGTGTAAGCAATGTCTTTCTAGCCAGTAGCGCCATCTGATAATGGAGCAAACAGCTTGGAGCCAAAGAGCCAGAGGTCTAAGCTGAGGATCCCAGGACTCTTCAACAGGGGTTTGTGGATTCAGTGGGAAGCTGGCCCAAGAGCTTTCAAGGGCCTTGGAGTGACCACCTGATTTGTCCCTTTGCACAGTTTGCCTGGTGCTGCACTTAGAGCTTCACTCTGTGAAGGGCATAGAACACCAACACTCTTCTCATGGCAAGGATGGGCTTTTGCTCCTGTTTCTTTTCTTTTTTCTTTTTTTTTTTTTGAGACTGAGTCTTGCTCTATCACCCAGGCTGGAATGCAGTGGCGCAATCTCGGCTCACTGCAACCTCCGCCTCCCAGGTTCGAGCTATTCTCCTGCCTTGGCCTCCCGAGTAGCTGGGATTACAGGCACCTCTTACCATACCTGGCTAATTTTTGTATTTTTATAGAGATGGGGTTTCACCACATTGGTCAGTCTGGTCTTGAACTCCTGAGCTAAAGTGATCTGCCTGCCTCAGCCTCCCAAAGTGCTGGGATTACAGGCGTGAGCCACTGCGCTCGCCTCCTGTTCCTTTTTCATCCACGCTTTGGAAGAAGATGGTGTCAGGGTCATAGAAGACCCTTAGAGAGGAGACATGGGGTGGGGTGGTTTAGGCATTAGTAGTGGCCATGTTTCCCCTACCCTGAATGGGGCTTTGCCCAGGGCTGTTCCATCGGGTTTATCTGGGCCTCACAGACGTCTAGAGTTTTCTTCATCTTGTTGTGTCTGGGTCTGCACAATACTGAGGAATTGTCTGGCAAGAAACAAAGCTACTCATGTTCTAGGACATAGTTCCATGGCTAAGCATGAAAACAAGCAAGATCCAAGTGTTCAAGGGCCCCTGCAACCCTGACATGCCTCCTAGGTGGCTGGCCATGTCTGCATGGGGTCACTGCGGCCCAGGACTCAGACTTTCCTCTAGAAGTTGGTTTTGGCAGTGTACCCAGGGAGACTGAGTCACCAAGCAAACTGGTAAGAGAATGCAGATAAACGTGGTTCACTTCCAGGAGGATCACAACTGCCAGCAGAGAGTATTCGGGGGGCTCCCCGCAGAATTCTCTTGGGGGAGAAGGTAGGTGGGAGTTAGGGGCCATTGTGTGTGGCGAGGCAGAGAAGGGAGAATTCGGGCTACTGTCCTGGCTGCTCTGGCAGAGCCAAGGTGGTGTGATACGTGAGTTTCTCAGTCCATTTTCCATTCACTTATTCTCATGGCAGATGGTGATCTCCTTTGGGGAGGTGAGGCCCGTCACTACTTAATGTGGCAAGGTTGCGGGTTCCAACATCCTGCTCTTTTTCTACTCTACCCCTCCCCTTGTTTTCAAGACTTTGAGAGGAATTTTCCAGAATCAAGCTTTCTGGCTCTCCTTCCTCTTTTGCTTTCATAAGGACAAACACTATTCGGGGGAGAGGGCGGGAGAGATATTGAGAGCCAAGGCACATGAGACAGCACGGGCAGCAGGGTGCTGCCTCGTGAGCTTGCCTTTTTTTTTTTTTTCTTTTTTGAGATGGAGTCTCGCTCTGTCTCCTAGGCTGGAGTGCACTGGTGCAATCACAACTCACTGCAGCCTCCACCTCCCGGTTCAAGCGATTCTTCCACCTCAGCCTCCCAAGTAGCTGGGACCACAGGCGCCTGCTACCACACCCGGCTAATTTTTTGTATTATTTTTTGTAGAGATGGTGGATTAGTCAGGGTTCTGTAGAGGGACAGAACTAATAGGATAGATGTATATATAAGGGGAGTTTATTAAGGAGCATTGACTCCCACGATCACAAGGTGAGGTCCACAATAGGCCGTCTGCAAGCTGAGGAGCAAGGAAGCCAGTCCAGGTCCCAAAACCTCAAAAGTGGGAAGTTAATAGTGCAGCCTTCAGTCTGTGGTCAAAGGTCCAAGAGTCCCAAAGCTGAAGAATTTGGAGTCTGATGTTTGAGGGCAGGAAGCATTCAGCACAGGAGAAAGATGTAGGCGCAGAGACTAAGCCAGTCTAGTCTTTCCACGGTCTTCTGCCTGCTTTTGTTCGGGCCCTGCTGGCAGCTGATTAGATGGTGTCCACCCAGACGGAGGGTGGGTCTGCCTCTCCCAGTCCACTCACTCAAATGTTAATCTCCTTTGGCAACACCCTCACAGACACACCCAGGATTTTTCAATCCAATCATCTTGACACTCAGTATTCACCATCACAGATGGAGTCTTGCTATGTTGCCCAGGCTGGTCTCAAATTCCTGTCCTTAAGCAATCCTCCCCCCGTCACGCTCCCAAAGTGCTGGGATTACAGGCCTGAGCCACTGTACCTGGCTTGTTTTAATCTTTTATACTGCATTTTTACTGTACTTATTATTATTATTATTATTATTTTTGAGACAGAGTCTTGCTCTGTCCCCCAGGCTGGAGTGCAATGGCGTGATCTCGGCTCACTGCAGCCTCTGCCTCCCAGGTTCAAGCGATTGTCCTGCCTCAGCCTCCCAAGTAGCTAGGATTATAGGTCCCCGCCACCATGCCCAGCTAATTTTTGTACTTTTAGTAGTTTTACCATGTTGGTCAGGCTGGTCTCGAACTCCTGAACTCAGATGATCCACCCACCTCGGCTTCTCAAAGTTCTAGGATTACAGGTGTGAGCCACAGCACCTGGCCTTACAGTACATTTTCTATGTTTAGATATACAAATACCTACCATTGTGTTACAGTTGCCTACAGTATTCTGTAGAGTCACATGCTGTACAGGTTTGTACCCTAGGAGCAACAGGCTATACCATGTAACCTAGATGTGTAGTAGGCTCTGCCATCTAGGTTTGTGTAAGTTCACTCTGTGATGTTTGCACAATGACGGAATTGCTTAGTGATGCATTTCTCAGAACATATCCCCATCATTAGCCAACACATGACTGTATTTCTTTTCTTCTTCTTTTGCTTGACCAATAAATTAGGACATCTTAAAACTTTTGAGAAATACACAAAAAGCTCAAGCCATCCTCCACATCTTTTATTTTTTTTTTAAGGAAGATAAAACATATTCATTATTCCTTAAGTGGAAGTGAATCCTCATAAAGGTCTTCCTCTCTGTCGTCTTCATGTTGAGTAGACTGGGAAGGAGGAAGAGGGGGCTGGTCTTGCTGTCTCAGGGGTGGCAGAGGCAGGAGAAAGTAGGTGTACCTGTGTGATTCAAATGTGTTGTTCAAGGTCAACTGTATATGGTTGGCTCTCACGATCTAATATTTTACATAGGAATCTTATATCTCTGTCTGTCATAAATAAAATGAACTTAAAATTTCCTTTTCTTTTACTTTTTGTTTTACCAATCAAGGTTATGCTAGCCTCAGAAATGACTAGAGTTGCTTTTATTCTTTTCTATTTTCTGGAACAATTTACTTAGATAAATCATCTGAGGTCAGGAGTTCAAGACCAGACTGGCCAACATGGTGAAATGCTGTCTCTACTAAAGATACAAAAAAAATTAGCCAAGCATGGTGGCACAAGCCTGTAATACCAGTTACTCAGGAGGCTGAGGCAGGAGAATCGCTTGAACCTGAGAGGCGGAGGTGGCAGTAAGCCGAGATGGTACCACTGCACTCCAACCAGGGTGATAGCATGAGACTCCGTCTCAAAAAAAAAAAAAAAAGAAAAAGAAAAGAAAAGAAAAGGAAATGCCCACAGGAGATGGAGTGACAGGGTCGGGGCAGAGAGAAATGGAAACTTACTGGAGGGTTTGCCGGGACTTAAGTTGAGCAATTTGAGTCACTTCACCCAGAGCCAGGCTATGGCTGCTGTGTATTCTCCTCACATCCACTTAATGAGACACTAAGTCCACTAGATTGGAGAAAAATATATGATATTTGTAGAAAAATAATAATTTTTTTTGAGACAGAGTCTCGCTCTGTCACTCAGGCTGGAGTGCAGTGGCACAATCTTGGCTCACTGCAACCTCCACCTCCTGGGTTCAAGTGATTCTTGTGCCTCAGCCTCCCGAGTAGCTGGGATTACAGGTGTGTACCACCACACCCAGCTAATTTTTGTATTTTTAGTAAAGACGAGGTTTTGCCATGTTGGCCAGGCTGGTCTCGAACTCCTGACCTCAAGTGATCTGCCCGCCTTGGCCTCCCAAAGTACTGGGATTACAGGCGTGAGCCACCACACCTGGCCTCTCCATGTCTTTTCATGACTTGATAGCTCATTTCTCTTTAGAACGGCATCATATTCCATTGTTTGGATGTTCCATAGTTTATCCATTTACCTACCAAAGGACATCTTGGTTGTTTCCATATTTTAACAATTACCAATAAAGCTGGTATAAACATCTATGTGCATGTTATGAATTGGTTTTTCGAACCCCCAACATGACATTGTGTGGATAGTCTCAGTCTCTGTTCTCAATCATGTGTGAGTTACAAATAATTTATTGAAATAAGAGCCCCCTCCCCGTGTCTTTGGCTGGTGATGATGGAAGGGTTTGTTTCAGTGTTTTGTTTGGTGTCTCACTTCTCTCCCTCATACATGGGATTTTTCTCAAGAGCAAATAGTGACACTTGGTGTCTAATGAGCAACTTCTGATTGCTCCCAGACTACCATGCTTGTCACCTCACTCTCTCTGGGGCAGCGGGTAGGTCCTAGCTTGGTTTGAACGTTTTAACCTGGCTATGGCTGGCACAGGATCACGGAAATGCGGTTGCTTGTGTTTGTTGTTACAGCAGCATTTGGAAGCACTGGTAGGAGTTAGATGACATTGGCTGGCACAGAAGTGTGGGAACAAAGGTGATCCTGGAGAAAAACCACTCCACTGTCCTCTCAAGGCTGGACCGAGCTCAGTGAATTCAGCTATGTGAGCACCTCACCAGGCACTTGCTTTTTTTTTTTTCTTTTTTTGTGACAGGGTCTCACTCTGTCACCCAGGCTGGAGTGCAATGGTGCAATCACAGCTCACTGCAACCTCTGCCTCCTGGGCTCAGGTGATCCTCCCACCTCAGTCTCCAAAATAACTGGGACCACAGGTGCGAGCCACCATGCCCAGCTATTTTTAAATTTTTTTTTTTTTTTTTTTTTTTTTGCAGAGATGGGGTTTCATGTTGCCCAGGCTGGTCTCTTAACTCCTGAGCTCAAGCAATCCGTCCGCCTGAGCCACCCAAAGTGCTGGGATTACAGGTGCGAACCACTGCACTGGCCAGGATCATTTTCAATAATTGCCCTGCTAATGTCTCATTCTACTCACGGAAGGTCCTTCTCTGACCTTTCCTTCCCAAACAGCTCAATTGTTCTAGGTGAGTCTGAATCACAGCCTGATCAGCGGCTAAATTAGGATTCCACTCAGCACCCTGGGGTTAGGGTGGCCCTATAATGAGTCTCCTAGGGAGCTAGCTATCTGCGTCCGTGTCAAGCAGAAGGGAAAAACAAAAACAAACCAACAAAACCAACAAAAACCCCAGCAAACTCTGCTCCTAATTGGCTTTCTTCTTTGATCTCTGACCTGGTTCCTTGACTACTCTAATCTCAACTCCCTTTACTTCTTCCCATAAAGCAAGTGGGGTTGACTAGGTAGTCTTGAAGTTTCCTTCTATCTTTCATAGTTTCTAGGACCACGACCTAGGAGAAATCATCAATCTGCGCTAGCCTTGGTGTTATTGTAGCTGTAAAAGAATCATCGTATTAGAGGAACATTTACGTTATTGGGAGCGTTTTCTGAAGGGCCGCCTTTGTGATACCCAGGTTAGTAGGAGGGAAGTTGGCCAAGCCCTAGTTGGACATTTGGGGTGAAGATGGGGCATTAGCAGAGCTAGGGAATGAGTTAGGAGGATGTCCAAACTAGTAAACTCGGAACCAGTAAATTACCAGAATACAGTTGCAGTTGGGTTGTTTATAAGTGATTTTGTAGTGAAGCAGTTTCATCTCTCATGAGGGCTCTACCCTAACTTACCTGGGGCTGTAAAGGCTGCCAGGAGTTCTAGCTGGCCATTAAAAAAACAAAAACAGGTGTGCATTCGTCCTTGCTCCCACGCACTCCCAGTTTGCACTTAGATGTAAGGAGCGGGGGGGGGGGGGGGGCGGGGGGTGGTGGTGGGGCGGGGATTGAGTTAACTTCCTTTTGCCTGCTGCAGAGCAAGTGCAGGAGGCGAATGGGGGAAGAACATAGTCTTCCCTCTAGACTCGGAACGCGTTATTGACAGACAGGAAAAGTGCCCGGTCTGCGAAAGTTCAGCTGGACCTCCGGGACATCAACTCCCTGTGCCCTAAGAGCTGACCGCTGTCAGATGCGTTATCTAGGTCAAGAGATGAATGATGTGCCGCTGCTGGGGCAGACGCCGTCTCTCTGCTCTCCCTGTGAGCTGAAACCAGCAGTGTTTGCAAGCTTGTAGGGAGTGTGGAAGAAGGCCCCCTGGTCCGCTTGCCTCGCCTGTACGTGTGCAAAATCGGTGGGCAAGCAGCGGGCGCGCAGGTGCACCGTCATTCCCCAGGAACCGCGGGCGCTCTTTGCAGGGGTGCAGCCGCTCTCCCCGCGCGCAGCCTACAGCCCTCCCCGACCCCCGCGAACCCCAGGGCGGGAACTCGTCCCGGTGGCGCGGGCGCTCGCTGCCTGCTGTTTCCCTCTTCGGGTCAGCCCACTCTTATTTCAGGAGTGGAGTGGGACTCTCCCCTGGGCGTTTAGGGTGTCGCCTCTGGCATGTGCTCCCACTGCAGAAAACAAGTCCAAATGCAACGCATCGGGTTTCTGAACAGCCGCCAGAGCGCGGAAACCAGACCGTCAGCAAAGCTGTCGCGGGAACAGGGGCTCTGAGAGGGCGGCGCGGGGGGCGGGGTGCCGGAGTGGGGGTCGAGGCGGGAGGGGGAGTGGGGGTCGAGGCGTGGGGGAGGGTGGCGGGGCACAGGCCAGGTGGCCGATGTTGCGCGTTCCGGGGCCCCTCGGCAGGCGGCGGGTCGGGAGGAGTGGAGGCCCGGGTGGGGCGGGCGCGCGGGGCGGGAGCAGCCCCGGTCGCCGCCTGGGCGCGGGCGCCCTCCCTGTGGAGCATGCGGGACGTGAGCGACGTGTGGCAGCCTCTGCGCAGACTTTTCCGCCGCGGTGTAGGTTTCAGCGAGCGCCGCCTTCCCTCCAATCACAGCCCAGCCTCAGCGCTAAGTGTGCACCTCTCTGCAAGGCGGCGCAGCGCTCCCGTACTGAGGCTTCGTTTGCAAAAGTTACATCCGTCCCGGCGCGGGCGGCGGTTCCCCACCAAAAGCAACCCAGATCTTCCCCGCACGCCTCTGACCTGACTGCACGACTGTCACAAGTCGCGAGCTGGTGCAAACTGCGAGGGCCGGGAAAGGAGACGGGGCACGCATGCACCAAAAAGTGGGGAGGCAGAGCTGCAGGGTGTGCAGGATAACGGAGTGAATTTTAGGAGTCTGCCTAATAAGGGGCCGCCCCCAATAGTTTTCCCTCGACTTAGGTAATGAATTGCAGATCGAAATGGGTCTAGTTTTATTCATTCTTCTACTCGGGGCGATAAAGGTTTATTGAATGGTGTACATGGTGAGTGTGAAAACCAGATGCCAGCTGCCCCCAGCCCCAGTCCACTTCAGTCCAGCTCCCCGGGGCTTTCCCGCCCCCTCCTCGTACCCAGCACCGCGGGCCTCTCAAGGTTCCCAGTCTTTGGGCTAGGGGAGGGGAGCAAGGCTCAGTTCAAGTCCAGGTTTCTAAGGGATTCAGCAAAGTGGACAAGGACGAGGTGAGGTGGGAGGATCAGGGAAGCCTCCTCCCCGCGGGTCGCCCGGGTCGTGGCGGGGGATGGGCTCACGGGTATTATCAGGGAGCAGCCTGGCCCATGTCCTTACCTGGACTGCGCCTGCCCCACAGCGCGTGTTAGGAATGCAGAGTATTGGGGCTCCATGGCCCTAAAGGAGCTGCATTGGTAGGATGCACTTTAAGCAGCTTCCCAAGGGATTCGGCTGCGGGGTCCACGGTCTACACTGGGCAGGACTGCGTCTCTGCTCTCCTCCCGGCCAGCACAGTTGAGGTGAGGGGCCGGAATTAGTCGGGGAAGCTGTGCCAGACGTCCCGAGGGGACAACGGGACGAGGGGATAACAGCAGCCAGGACCCTTCAGCAGGGCTGGGCGCGCTCCAGGCCCGGGGCAGGGCGGCGGGAGCTGGTGCACCGCCGTCGCCGGCCCGCAGGGGGAGCTCGCAGGCTGCTTCCCGGCTCGCCCACCCTCCTCCCCACGTGGAAGGGGGCTGGGACCCAAGGAATGCGGCCCGCCCCGAGGCTGACGTACGCGTCTGCGGCCAGCCCGGACTCTTTAAAAGCCGGCGGTGCGCGGGGCATCCCAGCCAAGCCGGAGAGGAGGCGAGCAGCAGGGCCTGGTGGCGAGAGCGCGGCTGTCACTGCGCCCGAGCATCCCAGAGCTTTCCGAGCGGACGAGCCGGCCGTGCCGGGCATCCCCAGCCTCGCTACCCTCGCAGCACACGTCGAGCCCCGCACAGGCGAGGGTCCGGAACTTAGCCCAAAGCACGTTTCCCCTGGCAGCGCAGGAAACGCCCGGCCGCGCGCCGGCGCACGCCCCCCTCTCCTCCTTTGTTCCGGGGGTCGGCGGCCGCTCTCCTGCCAGCGTCGGGATCTCGGCCCCGGGAGGCGGGCCGTCGGGCGCAGCCGCGAAGATGCCGTTGGAACTGACGCAGAGCCGAGTGCAGAAGATCTGGGTGCCCGTGGACCACAGGCCCTCGTTGCCCAGATGTGAGTGCAGCTGCGCGGAGCCGGGTTGCAGGGCGGGCTGCGCCGGGCCGGGCCATTGTGTGGGGCGGCTTTGTGCCGACGCCCCTCTGCGGGGGGCGCGCCCGTGCGGGTCGCGCCGGCGGGGCGGGGCGGAGGCGCGGGCTGCGCGTCCTTGGCCGGGCGGCGGGGGCGCTGTGGCCCTTGTCCCGGTGGCTGCCCCGCCGGCCCGGAAACGGCGAGTGCGCCCGGCCGGGCTGCGTACCCCGAGACGGAGGGACGCGCGCGCCTGGGCAGGCCAGGGAGGGGATCCACATCCTCCGCGATCCCTGTCCTCGACACCCGTCTCGGGCGGCCGTCGCCGGAGCGCAGCCCAGGGACCCGGCCGCTCGCGCCTCCGCCCCTTTTCACCGTCCGGATCTCCTCTCTCTGCATGTTTCCATCTCCTCTCCCGCCTTGCTATGCATTCCTATCCCCTCGCTTCACTTAATAACCTATTTCTCTGTCCTGTTTTCTCTTTCGATATATATGTCTCTGTTTTTCTCTGTTTCTACCTCCTTCCTCTCCCACTGTTTCTTTCTGCTTTTATCTCTTTCTCTCTCCTTCTCTCTCTTCCGTGCATCTCCAGTGCCATGGGGGCGCCCGTGCTGGGGGCGCCAGGAGAGCCACCTGGAGCCACGCCTGTGTCCCCGGCTTTGGGGAGGGTCGGTGGGTTGGTGAGTGCACGGTTGGCGCTGCTCCACGCGCCCCGGGCGCACGCACCCCCCGGTGCTCGGAATTGGCTGGCAGTACCCTGCCCCGCCCCGCCGGTCGCCGCCCCCGCCACCAGCGATCGCTTGGGAGAGGGTTACCTCGAGCTCCACCTCAGCTGCGGAGCGCCGCCGCGGAAAAGGGCGGGTGGGCAGCGCAGAGGGGCGACGCTGCCTCTCCAGGTAATGCGCCCCGGCTCCCATGGGCTGGACAGGGAGCCGCCTGGTGCGGTTTTGCCCAGGTCAGGTCGTAGCCTGAGTAGTGACCGTGGGATCCAGGTGCAAACTCTCGAGGTGGCTTCGGGTCATCCGAAGGCGCCTGAGCGCAGGCGGCTGGCAGGCAGGGTTGCCCGGCTACTACGTTTCTTAGGACGGCCCCCGCGGGACTTGGCAGCTCTCCTGGAGCCCTGCTCGGTCTGAATCACCGGCCTCGTCCAGACCTGCCCCTCTCCCCACACCCACCCCCATGGTGTGCCCTGGGTGGGGACGTCAGCAGATCCACCCTGGTGGACTTCAGGGTTCTGGGGTAGCCCTCAGGAGAGGTCTTGTTCCCCCTCTTTGTGAGGTAGCCCAGGACTGGGGGATGTGGGTGTGTTGCCCAGCCCAGTCAGATGCGCTTGAACTGGGGTGGCCCATGGTTCTCTTGTCTTTGTGTAAAACCTGTAAGTGGAGTGGAATGCAGCTCTTAAATCCCCAGGGAGGTTTGGCCAAGGCCAAATGCAGAAACAACTTTTGCATAAAGCAAGTATTATCTCTATAGCACTTTGTAAACTGCATTGGAGGCTAGTCCCACATATGTAAATACATGTGATTGTATACGAATGCCCACGGGTCTGAGAGGAGTGTCCCGTGACTTCCAGGGCTCTGAGATCTGTTGGCATCAGCTCAGTTGTGATCTTGAGAACTCCAGCGTGCACCAAGGCGTCCTCCCTCCAGGCTTGGATCCTGATCCATTAGACCCCATCAACCTGCACGTCTCACACGCAGTGAGAGATTTGCCTAAGAATCCCTGTCAGAATCATTCAGAGCTGGAGGGTGGGAATTTGGCTAAAGCCAATGGATTAATTCTTTTGTCCCGCCTACTGCTGGTATCCTCCTGTGTGGCTTTGAGGTATAGTCTCAGACACATTCCTTCTTGTAAAAAGATCCGCAGCCTGGGTATCGCACATCCTTATTTCAAGTGGTGGTGTCTTTCTCAGTTTATATAGTCACATTTAACTCTTACTGGAATGGAGGGAAGAAGGTGTTTCTATTTGGTATCTTTCCTGACACCCTCCCTCGATTCTCTAATGGCATTTGGGACATTGGGTGGGTTTTTCTTTCTTCCTTTTTTTTTTTTTTTTTTTTTTGACATGGCGTTTCACTCTGTCACCGAGGCTGGAGTGCAGTGGTGCGATCTCGGCTCACTGCAACTTCTGCCTCCGGGTTTCAAGCGATTCTCGTGCCTCAGTCTCCCGAGAAGCTGGGATTACAGGCGCACGCCGCCATGCCCAGCTAATTTTCATATTTTTAGTAAAGACGGGGTTTCACCATGTTGGCCAGGCTGGTCTTGAACTCCTGACCTCAAGTGATCCGCCCACCTCAGCCTCCCAAAGTGCTGGGATTATAGGCATGAGCCACCACGCCCAGCTGGGTGGGTTTTCTTTCTCCTAAACTTGTTGCCACCTTTATAAGTGGCCTTCTCATTGGAGGTCTGCAGCAGAGTTCCCTGAGGTTTATTATTTATTTATTTATTTATTTATTTATTCATTTTTGAGGTGGAGTCTCACACTGTCACCCAGGCTGGAGGGCAGTGGTGCGACCATAGCTCACTGTAACCACCAACTCTTGGGCTCAAGTGATGCTCCCGCCTCAGCCTGTCCAGTAGCCGGGACTATAAGTGTGCACCACCACACCCGGCTAATTAAAAAAAATTTTTTTTTTTTTTTAATTGATCATTCTTGGGTGTTTCTCGCAGAGGGGGATTTGGCAGGGTCATAGGACAATAGTGGAGGGAAGGTCAGCAGATAAACAAGTGAACAAAGGTCTCTGGTTTTCCTAGGCAGAGTGTTTGTGTCCCTGGGTACTTGAGATTAGGGAGTGGTGATGACTCTCAACGAGCATGCTGCCTTCAAGCATCTGTTCAACAAAGCACATCTTGCACCGCCCTTAATCCATCCAACCCTGAGTGGACACAGCACATGTTTCAGAGAGCACAGGGTTGGGGGTAAGGTCATAGATCAACAGGATCCCAAGGCATAAGAATTTTTCTTAGTACAGAACAAAATGAAAAGTCTCCCATGTCTACTTCTTTCTACACAGACACAGCAACCATCCGATTTCTCAATCTTTCCCCGCCCCTTTCCCCCCTTTCTATTCCACAAAACCGCCATTGTCGTCATGGCCCGTTCTCAATGAGCTGTTGGGTACACCTCCCAGACGGGGTGGTGGCCGGGCAGAGGGGCTCCTCACTTCCCAGTAGGGGCGGCCGGGCAGAGGCGCCCCTCACCTCCCGGACGGGGCGGCTGGCCGGGCAGGGGCTGACCCCCCCACCTCCCTCCCGGACGGGGTGGCTGCCGGGCGGAGACGCTCCTCACATCCCAGATGGGGCGGCGGGGCAGAGACGCTCCCCACATCTCAGACGATGGGCGGCCGGGCAGAGATGCTCCTCACTGCCTAGATGGGATGGCGGCCAGGAAGAGGCGCTCCTCACTTTCCAGACTGGGCAGCCAGGCAGAGGGGGTCCTCACATCCCAGACGATGGGCGGCCGGGCAGAGACGCTCCTCACTTCCCAGACGGGGTGGCGGCCGGGCAGAGACGCTCCTCACTTTCCAGACTGGGCAGCCAGGCAGAGGGGCTCCTCACATCCCAGACGATGGGCGGCCAGGCAGAGACACTCCTCACTTTCCAGACTGGGCAGCCAGGCAGAGGGGCTCCTCACATCCCAGACGATGGGTGGCCAGGCAGAGACGCTCCTCACTTCCCAGATGGGGTGGCGGCCGGGCAGAGGCTGCAATCTCGGCACTTTGGGAGGCCAAGGCAGGCGGCTGGGAGGTGGAAGTTGTAGCGAGCCGAGATCACGCCACTGCACCCCAGCCTGGGCACCATTGAGCACTGAGTGAACGAGACTCCGTCTGCAATCCCGGCACCTCGGGAGGCCGAGGCTGGCGGATCACTCGCGGTTAGGAGCTGGAGACCAGCCCGGCCAACACAGCGAAACCCCGTCTCCACCAAAAAAATACGAAAACCAGTCAGGCGTGGCGGCGCCTCCTGCAATCGCAGGCACTCGGCAGGCTGAGGCAGGAGAATCAGGCAGGGAGGTTGCAGTGAGCCGAGATGGCAGCAGTACAGTCCAGCTTTGGCTCGGCATCAGAGGGAGACCGTGGGGAGAGGGAGAGGGAGAGGGAGCTGGAGCTTAAAAAAATTTTTTCATAGAGATGGGGTCTTGCTATGTTGCTCAGGCTGATCTCGAACTCCTGGCCTCAAGTGATCCTCCCACCTTGGCCTCCCAAAGTGCTGAGGTTACAGGCATGTGCTACCATTCCCAGCCTCCCTGAGGTTTATTGCTGAAGAGGGTGTCTAGGACCCTGCTTTTTATAGACAAAGAACAGTAAAACAACAAAACAAAAATTACTATATCAATAAGCTGCATTATATTCTTGCCTTGGAGGCACCTTAACGGGATGCCCTGTTGCTACATCAACATGATGGTAAATGCTTCTTACAAAACCTGTAGCTTCCTTCGCATGCATCCTGTAACTCCTGCTGACTTACTGAATTTGTGAGTCAGCATAATGGTCAAGAAGTACCTTTTTGACTGGCAAGGTCTAGCTTTCCTTTCTGTTCATCGTCACTAAAATTCAAGAGCCTGTGTGTTCTGAGGGATCCTGGGTACCGGGCTGAGTCCTAAGATGGTGCTTGGGACTTGGCATTACATCAGAAGTTGCCATGATCAGTGGAGCAAAGGAGGGGGTATTAGTACTGGTCAGGCCAGTGCAGGTTTGTAAGCAACAGGTAAAAGACAGCCTTTTAAAGCACCAAACTTTGTTTTTTGAGACAGGGTCTCACTGTCACCCAGGCTGGAGTGCAATGGTGCAATCACGTCTCATTGAAGCCTTGAACTCCTGGGCTCAAGCAATCCTGTCTCAGCCTCCTGAGTAGCTGGGACTAGGGGCATGTGCTACTGCGCCCAGCTAATTTTTAAAAATATTTTTGCACAAACGGGGTCTCTCTATGTTGCCCAAGCTGGTCTCGAATTCCTGGCCTCAAGCAATGCCCCCTTGGCCTCCCAAAGTGCTGGGATTACAGGTGTAAGCCAGGGTACCTGGCCTTTTTTTTTTTTTTTTTTTTTTGCCTCTTAAAAACAGTGGAATGAGACAAACTGCCAGCTTGTCTTTGCTCAGGATTTAGACACCATGGGAAATTGAGTCTGAAGAAAGGTTGATGTGGCACTCAAATACGGATAGAAAGACTTTCATCTCAGTAGCGAGTTACGCCGGCTGCTGGTGTTCTAGCTTAAGGAAGCTGGGTGGGTGATGTCCTAGAGAAATCCCTGCCTTATCCCTGGGTAGCCCCTACAGTTTATTTACTGGGGATGCATTCTGTGTTAGGGTTTGAGTCAGTGGGGGATACAGGCTGTGCGGGCTGCTGCCTGTCTGTCTGTGCATTGCACACCATCAGAGAGGTTAGTAACTTAATCTATCCGGGAGAGCAGGAGTAGGAACCCGGGGGTGCCAGCCTCTCACTGTCCAGGTGGGGGATTCACCATCCATCTGGCTGCTGCTTTCCATAACTGGCTCCTTGTGTCACTGTATCCCACGGCTGAGTGTTCACCAGCCAGCCTTCAGTTTTCTTTTGGCTTCCTGTGTATGTTTGCCTGCAGGGAACGGGCCCCAGTAGGCAGTCTCCGTTGTACACTAATGGTACTGCGGGCTTGTAGACAGCCAGGGCTTAGCCCAAAGGCACTACTCAGCCACATTGACCCTGTATCCCCCAAGTAGCCTCTGTCTCACGGGTACCCAGTGCATGTACCTGGTGCATGTGCCCAGTGAGCGAGCGTGTCATGAACGTAGCAACCTTGCAGAATTGAAGTTCCGTGCCTGGGACTTGGTGACTTTCTGGGAGGACTTACCCACGTGGCCATGGTTGTAACCATGACAACACTTTGAGCTCGAGTCCCCCAGATTCAATTCGGGTGTTTAGTCTGTTACCCAGGGTCTTTACACAGTTGTTCCTTCCCCTGTAACCCGGTGACATCTGTGTTCCCCCAGGCATGTTTCAGTTGACCTCTAAAGTCCACATCTAAACACATTTAAGTTTCACAACTTTCAAAAACTTTAGGTGTGTGAAAAAGAAGTTAAAATATTGAACATTTACATAAAATGAAATGAGACACAAATACTCTTTGGAAAATCTTGTGTTAAACTCAATAATTTTTTTTTTGTTTTTTTGAGACAGAGTTTTGCTCTGTTTCCCAGGCTGGAGTGCATTGGTACAATCTCGGCTCACTGCAACCTCTGCCTCCCAGGTTCAAGCGATTCTCCTACCTCAGCAGATGGGATTACAGGTGCCTGCTACCACGCCTGGCTAATTTTTGTATTTTTAGTATAGACGGGGTTTTGCCATGTTGACCAGGCTGGTTTCGAACTCCTGACCTCAGGTGGTCTGCCCTCCTCTGCTGCCCAAAGTGCTGGGAGACCATGCCCAGCCAATACTTACCTTTTCTTTTTTTTTTTTTTTTTGAGACGGTGTCTCACTCTGTCACCCAGACTGGAGTGCAGTGGCGTGACCTTGGCTCACTGCAAGCTGCGCCTCCCAGGTTCACGCCATTCTCCTGGCTTAGCCTCCTGAGTAGCTGGGACTACAGGCGCCTGCCATCACGCCTGGCTAATGTTTTGTATTTTTAATAGAGATGGGGTTTCGCTGTGGTCTCGATCTCCTGACCTTGTGATCCGCCCGCCTCGGCCTCCCAAAGTGCTGGGATTACAGGCGTGAGCCACCGTGCCCGGCCTAATACTTATCTTTTCTAATCACTGTGCCTTGCCAGGGAGGGTGATGAGGCGGGTGGGGGGTGTCTCTTTTTTGGTGGTAAAAAGGCCCATTGAGAAGAGAAGAAGAAACTGAGGGTCACAGAATTAGAAACATGAGATGTGCTGTGAGTTTTTAAAAGGGGCTGAGGTTGGAGAATAAGACAAAAAGATTTAGTAAGGATTTGTGATTACCCCATCTGTCCAAGACAGTGGTGGGTGTCTGAAGGGAGGGACAGGTGCAAACACCTCAGGCGCCCCTCTCTTTGTTTTTTTTTGTTTTTTTTTGTTTTTTTGTTTTTTTTTTTTTTGAGACGAAGTTTCGCTCTGTCACCCAGGCTGGAGTGCAGTGGCGCTATCTCGGCTCACTGCAAGCTCCGCCTCCCGGGTTCACGCCATTCTCCTGCCTCAGCCTCCCGAGTAGCTGGGACTACAGGCGCCCGCCAACATGGCCGGCTAATTTTTTGTGTTTTTAATAGACGGGGTTTCGCCATGTTAGCCAGGATAGTCTTGATAGTGTTTTTAATAGACGGGGTTTCGCCATGTTAGCCAGGATAGTCTTGATAGTGTTTTTAATAGACGGGGTTTCGCCATGTTAGCCAGGATAGTCTTGATAGTGTTTTTAATAGACGGGGTTTCGCCATGTTAGCCAGGATAGTCTTGATAGTGTTTTTAATAGACGGGGTTTCGCCATGTTAGCCAGGATAGTCTTGATAGTGTTTTTAATAGACGGGGTTTCGCCATGTTAGCCAGGATAGTCTTGATAGTGTTTTTAATAGACGGGGTTTCGCCATGTTAGCCAGGATAGTCTTGATAGTGTTTTTAATAGACGGGGTTTCGCCGTGTTAGCCAGGATAGTCTTGATCTCCTGACCTCATGATCCACCCGCCTCGGCCTCCCAGAGGGCTGGGATTACAGGCGTGAGCCACCGTGCCCGGTGCGCCCCTCTCTTGTTCTGCAGTCAAATGCTCTACCCCTGAGCTATATCCCCAGTTATAGCGCCCCTCTCTTTGAATCTTACTATGCGACAGAGCAGTGCATAGGGAGAATGGCTCTGCTTTGCCAAGAAGGGACTGGCAGTTTATTTGGGTTTGAAATCCAGTCTGACCTTTTGCCCTGTGTATTTACTCTGCTGTCTTTATTGTTGTTATTGTTATTTTCCCTCCCTAAATGTCTACTGCCAGAGGACATTTGTTCCTATGATTAGTGGGTAGACATAATCCCCTGTTGGATAAATCAATCAGCCTCTGCTTCCTTGGCGTGGTTCCGACAGAAATATTCTGCGTATGTGCACAGCTGAGAGTATGTGTGTGCGTCTGTCTCTGCATATCTGGGTGCTCTTAGGAGCAGCGGTGCAGTGGGGACACCTGGTAAGACCAGGAGGGACCCTTGGCCTAGGGGAAGGGTCAGTGGATGGGTATTGTTTCCAAGGAGTTGCTGCTACTTTCCTGATATGGCAGCTACAGCTGCCAGAATGACCCTGGGCACGGTGGGGTGTGCCTCACTGGCTTTCGGGGAGGCCACCATCTCTCCGTGTGCCCCTGGGGACACAAGAAAGCCCCTGGGTGCTTGGTGCTTTGTGCTTGTTTGTTCCACTCATGTGCTCAGGATGCCCGGCTCACCCTGGGCAGTGAAAAGCATCTGTTTTCGAGGAACTGTTTGTTCTAGGTCACTGGACATCAAGAGCATGGCAGCCCAGGGCTTTTAGCGTCTCCTCATCTGCTGATAGCCTGTCTGTCTCCTTACTCTGCCTGCTGAGAAGGCCACTAATGGTCTCCAAATAGCATGGAGGGGACAAAGGCCCGGCATGCCATGCCTGCTTCCCTGCCCCCACCTCCAGGCCTAGCGGCAGATCCTGGACATTGACTTCAGTTTGGAGCCCTGCTGGGGGCTCCGGCTTACAGAGGGGCTTCTTTCCTGAGCTGCGGCCCGTCTGAGGGGTGGTGGCTCCCGCAGCATAAGCCTGCTCAGCTCGGACATCAGGGCCTCTGTCCAGTCTGACATCTGCCTGGTTCTGTGTGCGGCTTTCAGAGGTTTTCCTGCAGGCCATGTGGGCTGTGTCTGGGAATGATGAGGACAGCCAGGCTAACCACGTGGCAGTGAGTGCTGGGCCGTGCCGCCCAGGCGGGAGCTGGCGGGTATCATCTGGCCCTGGAGCTTGCATGTCGGCAGGATGCGGGAGTTGCCTGAGACTCCCAGGGCCAGGCGACAGCCGGGGAGATACTGGGCCCTCGGCTCCCAGAACAGGGGGCTTCTGGCTGCTTTCTGAAAAACCCAGCAAAACCCCCCTTCCTGCTGTTTTGTCTTACTGAGATGCCAAGACCGTCATGTAGCAGCGGAAGCCAGGAGGGAGCTGGCAGGCAAGAGCATCTCCAGGTTTCCTGGAGACAGTGGTGGAGCCGGCCCCTGGCTGAGGCTTCGTGACCGGCCCTTCCCTCGGCAGGGCCCCAGCATTCATCCGAGCCTGGCACCAGAAGAGGGGGTCAGACAGGGCGTGAGAGGCTCGGGTGGAGGATTTACCTGTCCACTGGGGTAATTTTAGCATTCTGCCTCCCTGACCTACTTTCATTTGATAAACTCTTTTCTTCTAATTATTTTTTAATTTATTTGTTTGTAGAGGCAGGGCCTTGCTATGTTGCCCAGGCTGGTCTCAAACTCATGGTCTCAAGTGATCCTCTTGCCTCGGCCTCCCAAAGGGCTGGGATCACAGGCATGAACCACCGCGCCTGGCTGTAAACTCCTACTTTTAAAAATTGCCTTTTTAAAGATTTTTTTTAGAAACTCTGCCCATACCTCTGTGTGGAGGTTTGGATATTGATGGTGGGCCTCTCTGTCTCTTGACCCCTGGGCCCCAGCCCCTGCCCCTCTGTCCCCATGTTGTATTGGAATCCACCCTCTTGACTCTTAGCCCCACTCTCCCTCGGGAGAGGAATCCTTTCCTCCCACCCGCAGGAGCATTTCCACTTTCACTGTGGTGTCAGTCACTGGTTCCCTGCTAGGTTTAGCGCCCTGGGTATCAGCTCAGGAATTTGGGGTTGGGACTGTCTTTGCCAAGTAGAACCTAAAGGCAGGACTGAGGGACAGGGTGTGGCTGGGGGGCTGTGGCCACTAGGGTTGCCTGGTCCCACTGTGGTACAATGCCAGGGGCTTCAGGATGGGGAGATGAAATGAAAATTTCGATGAATGCTGGGTGTGGTAGCTATGCCTGTAATCCCAGCACTCTGGGAGGATTGTTTGAGACCAGGACTTCGAGACCAGCCTGGGCAACACAGCGAGACCCCATCTCTACAAAGATAAAAAATTAGCCAGGGATGGTGGTGTACACACTTGTAGTCCCAGCTATTGGGGAGGCTAAGGCCGGAGGATTGTTTAAGTCTAGAGGTTTGAGGCTGCAGTAATCATGGTGGCCACCGTGCTCCCGCCTGGGCAACAGAGTGAGACCCTGTCTCAAAAACATTTTTGGTGAAATTCTTCAGTGTTATTGTTGGGTGTGGCCTCTGCTCCTCTTCTCCGGTCACTTGGTTGATGACACACCCTTCTTGCTTGTTTTTCCAGCCTGTGGGCCAAAGCTGACCAACTCCCCCACCGTCATCGTCATGGTGGGCCTCCCCGCCCGGGGCAAGACCTACATCTCCAAGAAGCTGACTCGCTACCTCAACTGGATTGGCGTCCCCACAAAAGGTGAGACTGGGTCTCGAGGCCGGACCCCTGCTCGTGCAAAAACTTGACCTTCCATCTCAGTTGCTGGTTTCACAGGCAGGACCACCCCTGGGCGCCTCTGTCCCCTGGTCGGGGAGTCTGATCCTGCCTCCCATGCAGCTGGGTCCCCTTCACACTGTGTCTACACCCTTTTTCTTCTGTTGGGGTTTTCTCCTCACTGGCCATTCTCTTTCCCACTCCTCTAAGTCCTGCCCCGACTCAGATTTCACCTCCTTCAAAGCCATCTCCAGCCACCTCAGTCCTTTACATTCCTGTCGCACTCAGTCCTAGCTAACATTCCTCTGCTGATAGCCCTAAGCACTGCCTACCGTAGATCAAGGGTCTTCAACCCCCAGGCTGTGGACTGCTATGTTGGGTGGCCTGTTAGGAACCTGGCTGCAGGAGGTGAGTGGCAGTGAGTGCGCATTCCTGCCTGAGCTCCGCCTCCAGTCTGATCAGTGGTGGCATTAGATTCCCATGGGAGTGAACCCTATTGTGAACTGGGCATGTGATGGATCTAGGTTGTGTGCTCCTTATGATAATCTAATGCCTGATGATCTGAGGTGGAACAGTTTCATCCCAAAGCCGTACACCCACAACCCCTCCCTGTCCGTGGCAAAATTGTCTTCCACGAAAGTGGTCCCTGGTGCCAAAAAGGATGGGGACTGCTGTTGTGGATGACACATTTAAGAATCTCTGCTTGGTCTTCCCAACTAGATGGGGAACATCTTGTGGATAGGCACTGGGTATTTTTTTTTTTTCAATTAATTTTATTTTAGATTCGGGTACATGTGCATGTTTGTTACCTGAGTATATTGCATATTGATTGGGGATTGGGCTTCTAGTGAACCTGTTACCCAGATAGTGAACATTGTACCCAACTGGTTATTTTTTAACCCTTGCTCATCTCCCACCCTCCCCTCTTTTGAAAGGATGGTTTTTATGTTTACCATCCCCGCTGTGCCCAGCTCAGTGCCCAGGAACCATGGGACACATGTCTCCGGCCCTGGCCCTGGCGGCTGCACCAGCAGAAGGGTTGACCTAGATCTGGCGGTGGGCATGAGGCCCCACTCGCTTTCTGATACCATTGGTGGAAATGTGTTGTCCCTATTTTTGCTAGACTTGGGGCCTCCCCCCACCCATCCTCACAGTCTCAGTCTCTGGTTTAGGATATTGTGGGACTGAGATTGTAGACTTGGCTGGAGGGGACAGTGTCGCAGAGCATGCGGCAGGGGCATTGCAGCTGGACTGGGGAAGCCGGGCAGCCTGTGCCCTGCTGTCCTCAGGAGTTGAGGGTAGCGTAGGACTGGGCGCCGGCATTGCTTCCACACCATCTCATTCAAGTCGGTGTGGTTGGCCTGGTGGCTCTTCCTTTGGTCGATCCTATGGTCCCGGTGTGAGCTGGCCCCTTCCTCCTGCTCGATCATCCAGACTGTTCTCTTTCCCGTCCACAGTGTTCAACGTCGGGGAGTATCGCCGGGAGGCTGTGAAGCAGTACAGCTCCTACAACTTCTTCCGCCCCGACAATGAGGAAGCCATGAAAGTCCGGAAGTAAGGCTGGGCCGCGGGCGTAGGGCTGGGCTGTGGGAATAAGGCTGGGCCGCGGGCATAAGGCTGGGCTGCAGGAGTAAGGCTGGGCCGCGGGCGTAGGGCTGGGCTGTGGGAATAAGGCTGGGCTGCGGGGCTGCGGGTGTAAGGCTGGGCTGCGGGCTTGGGCTTGCTTTGTTCTGAGCCAGGCTCTGTAGGAGGCAGAGAAAGCCGGCCTGCGGGTGGGTCCTGCTGGTGGCTTCAGGGCTGTGCAGTGTGGGAACAAGGTTGCTGCTCTCATCTGTCCCCTGAGGGTCTCGCTGAGCTGACCCTCACTGGGACAGAGCCGCAGAAGCACCCTCACTGAGAATTAGCAAGTCCTGTTCATCGGGAGTGTCTGTTTATGTTTGGAAAGGATTTCTTGTTAAGTGCGAGTTGATTGTGAAACCCTAGTGCAAGGGTGTTCAGCCCCGGCTGTATGCTGGAGTCTCCTGGGGGATGCTAAAATCCCTGATGCCAGGCCCCACCCCAGACCAGTTAGTGCAACTCTGTGGGTGGCTCTGGGCAGCCATTTCTTAGCAGCTCCCCAGGAGTGGTTCCCGCGTGCAGCCCGGTTTGAGCACCGCCTCCCGAGGGTTCCTGAGGCCACCCGTGTGGGGCCCCAGGTTGGAAGCCTCTGGGCCTGAGGGGTGCTGGCCAGCCTGCCCAGCGCTAAGCAGTGTAGAATGGAACCACCAGTTACTCTGCTTGTCGGGGCGTGTCGGGAGTTGCTTGGGCTGCCCCAGCGGATGCACCGGCGCTGACATTCGGGCAATGTCTTGTGCATTCCAGGCAATGTGCCTTAGCTGCCTTGAGAGATGTCAAAAGCTACCTGGCGAAAGAAGGGGGACAAATTGCGGTAAGTCCAGGCAATGTAGCCGGCTCGGTGTCCAGTCCCACCCATGAGGGTGTCCTCACCGGCCTGGGGTGTACCGAGACCTGTGCCTCTGGCCCTGAGGGTGGAGGAAAGCAGGTGGCCAGGGCAGCCCAATGGCTCAGGAAGGAGGATGTGGGGTGGACTCAGGGACCCACCCCCTCTGTGGCCAGTCCCACACCTCCAGGGCGGGCAGGACTCGAGTTACCCACAGGACCACTGGCCCTTCCTTGTACACTGTCCCATTGCACATTACTGTTTTGCTTGTTTGCTTTTGGGGTATTTCCCCCACGCTACCACCCCTGAGTGCTGTTGGTAGTTGCGGGAGGCCTGCCTCCTAAGCACTCCCTGGAGAGGACTGTGGGCAGGCACAAGCTCCCCTGAAGCACTTTTGGGGCTTATTCCTGGAGATGATGGGTCTGGCATCTTTGCTGTTCTGGTAAACGTTGTTAAACTCAAACTTAGAGTTTTCTTCCTGGCCCTTTGCTCTCCATATCAGGTTTTCGATGCCACCAATACTACTAGAGAGAGGAGACACATGATCCTTCATTTTGCCAAAGAAAATGACTTTAAGGTGAGCTGAGCGTCTTGTGTTGTGCTAGAGGGCTCGGGAGAGAGGAAAAGGCTTCAGGAAGCGGCCTGAGTCCTGCTTGGTCCTTCCCCTCCTGCTGCCCATGTTCCTTAGTCCTGCTCGGTCCCTCCCCTCCTGCTGCCCACGTTTTGTGGCCTTAAATTTGGGCCTTTGTGTGGTAGGGCTCTTGGGGGCCATGGGGCGTTCCAGAGGCTGCAGTGAGGAGGTGGGCTTTCCTGTGTTTGGGAGTTGGTGGGTGGCGTGCTTCCGCCTTGTCCGGGTGATGACATCGCAGTGATGGCAAGGTTGATCCTTCGTGGTGTTTGTTTTCTAACATCCCCACCTCACTTCCACCAGGCGTTTTTCATCGAGTCGGTGTGCGACGACCCTACAGTTGTGGCCTCCAATATCATGGTAAGACAGCCGGGAGCCCCGTGCTTCTGCGGCAGCGTAGACCACAAGGGCATTTGCAGTCTGAGGAAGTGGGGGACCGGGTCCGGCTCGGAAGCGCAGCTGAGCCCTTAGGATGAGCAGCCCCCAGCTGGCTGTTGATTGGGAGGTCAGACCTACAGAGCGGTTTTTAACCCAGAGGCCTGTCCTGTGAGGGACTAGCTCCATCCAGGGCAGTGGGCAGGCTTGGATGGGACGTAGGAAATAATTCAGGGAGATAGGATTAGTTTCTGTTGGTGGCAGGAGCCTGACAGCTAGTGGTGATGGAGCTGCTGGGGCAGAGGGCCGCTCACTGCCCCTAATGGGACAGGTGGCAGCAAGTGGATCACTTGCTACAGCTCCAGGAGGTAAGAATGCTTGGGCATTGGCAAAAGTCCATAGGGCTCAGCAGCCTCCTGAGTTTGGGAGGTAAGACTCTCCTCCTGCTGATGCATCTCGTGAACCTGCCACAAACCCTCCTGTCTGTGCTGTGCAGGGGAGCTTGCCCAGATAAATTGAGGGCACTTGGCATCATAACTTGATGAATTTCTCCAGTGTTACCACTTGATAGCAATATATATAAACAGGAATGGTTACTATGGAGACTTACTACAAGCTGCCACCCTGTGTTGGAGATAATTTCCTCTTCAGCTTAAACATATCAGAATATGACAATTCTATAAAGAAAAGCAGTTCTGAAAACTTAACACTGGGACGCTGTGGTGCTGGCATCTTTGCACCTTTAGAGGGGATGCTAAGCATGTGTTAGCCCCGGTATCTTCCCCAAGGTGGTGGAAGTATTTCTAGATATCTTTAGGAAATGAATTCCTGTTTCAGGAAGGGCTATTTGAATTGTGAAAAGTCAGTTTAGATTTGTCCAGTGGGAGCAGGAGGCTCAGAGTATGAGGGTTTGCCACCTTTCTTTGGCTGGGCACTCGTTGTTCCCCTTGGTAGACAGCAGGGTGCAGCTGTGAAGTCATTTTTCCCAGTGAGTGGTCACCAATGTGCTTAGCAAGGAGTTTAGCATTTGTCTGGTTGTCCACTAGCAGATAATCATTTGCCCCAACCCACCATGTTCAGAAATCTCTTTCTGATGAAATCTCAAAGCAGCTTGGTAGAGCCAGGCATTTGTGAACTTAGATTTTTTTTTTAAATTGTGGTAAAATATACATAATGTAAAATTTACCATCTTAATCATTTTTATTATTTATTTATTTATTTATTTATTTATTTATTTATTGAAACGGACTCTCCTTCTGTTGCCCAGGCTGGAATGCAGTGACACGGTCTTGGCTCACTGCAACCTCTGCCTCCCGGGTTCAAGCGATTCTCCTGCCTCAGCCTCCCGAATAGCTGGGATTACAGGTGTGCGCCACCACGCCCAGCTAATTTTTTTTGTATTTTTAGAGGAGACGGGGGTTTCACTGTGTTGGCCAGGCTGGTCTCAAACTCCTGACCTCAAGTGATCTGCTTGCCTTGGCCTCCCAAAGTGCTGGGATTACAGGCGTGAGCCACTGCATCCGGCCATTTTAGCTATTTTTTAAGTGTGCAGTACAGCAGCAAATTATATTCCCATTGTTGGGCAACCGCCACACTCTATCCGCAGGACTTTCTCATCTTCCCCGGCTGAAACTGTGCCAGGACACAGGCACAGCTCCCGACTGACTCGATCTTTGAAGAGTGGCTGCCTCTCAGTGACGGCAGTGGTTGATGAGAAAAAGAGCCCAGGCATTCAGAAATGCTGAGTTTCCCTAAAATCCACCTGGTTTCTGGGGCCTGTGCCACTGTGGGTGTTGGTAGACCTGTGTTGTTGCCTAGGAGAGCGAGCCCTGCAAAGGAGCCGGCACAGCCCTAGTTGGAGAAGCAGTTAACCACGGACTGGTCACACTGGGGCTGCCTCAGGCAGTGGGGGGTGGAGGAGAAACCACACAAGGCCAGAGGCATCTCTGGGAACTCCTGAGCATACCTTAGAACCAGCAGCCTCCTCCCGGCACGGGGAGCATTGCGGATCCTCACGTGGAGCTCGGTTGAGTTCAGCGCCAGGCTGTCTGGCGGTGACTCGGGCACGGGACAGATCCTGACTTGCTGGAGCATTCAGAGGTGTTCATTATGGAATCCCTGTGGGTTTCCTGTCTCTGTCCTTCCGGCTTCAGTTCTCCATCTCCCCAGGGAATCCTCCCCATGTAACATCAGGCTGTGACTCAGCCCCCAGCATCTTTCTCCCTTTCTCTTACACGCTGGGCCGGATAATCTTTATACTGAGCCTTCTGTGCGCTCCCCTTTTGAAAGCCCCAAATCCTGCTTAATCTCAGCAGAAAGCCTTCCAGCGTGATTTATCAGCCACCCCTTTGTGGTGTTGCAGGAAGTTAAAATCTCCAGCCCGGATTACAAAGACTGCAACTCGGCAGAAGCCATGGACGACTTCATGAAGAGGATCAGTTGCTATGAAGCCAGCTACCAGCCCCTCGACCCCGACAAATGCGACAGGTGATTCCCGTGGCTGGCCGTCTCTGCAAGACCCACATGAGGGTTCTTACTGAATTCTTGATGTTCCCACAAAGGATTTGCTCCTGGATACCTTTAAAAAAATTTTTTTAAGACAGTTTTTTTTGTAGAGATGAGGTCTCGCTATGTTGCCCGGGCTGGTCTTGAGCTCCTGGCCTCAGGTGATCCACATACAGCCGCTGGATACCTTTATCAACTCTCTTTGAAAATATCTTTTAAAAACAATCCTTGATGACAAATCATATTCAGTGGGAATATTTTGAACACTGTGTAGAAGTACAGGAAGTCAACATAGAGTTGAGCCTGATTTTGCTACTGTCCCTCCGATAGTTCCTTTCTTTTTTCTTTCCTTTCTTTCCATTTATTTATTTATTTATTTACTTACTTACTTGCTTGCCTGCTTGCTTAGAGACAGGGTCTCCCTTTGTCTCCCAGGCTAGAGTGCAGTGGCATGATCATAGCTCACTGCAGGTTCAAACTTCTGGGCTCAAGTAATCCTACCGCCTCAGCCTCATGAGTAACTGGGACTACAGGTGTGGGTGTCCACGCCCAGCTAATTTTTTTTTTCTTTAGTAGAGATGAGGTCTTGCTATGTTGCCCAGGCTGGTCTTGAACTTCTAGACTCAAGCAATCCTCTTGCCTCGGCCTCCCAAAGTGCTGGGATTACAGGCATGAGCCACTGCACAGGCCCCTTTCTTTTTTTCTCCATTTTCTTTCTTTTTTCTCCCCCTTTTCTGGGAGGCAGGCCAGCCTCACAGCCAGACACCAGCTGTGGGAGTTGTCTTACGCATATGCTCTGCCCCTTAGAAGGATTCAGTCTGTGCCCTGGAGGGGCCTACGGTCCCGCCTTGCTGTTCTCTGGGGATCACATCTTCGGAGACGGGCCAGGTGCATCCTGCTGTGGGTGGTGGCCTGAGCTGTGGTTCTCGGTGGGGTCTCTCTGCAGGGACTTGTCGCTGATCAAGGTGATTGACGTGGGCCGGAGGTTCCTGGTGAACCGGGTGCAGGACCACATCCAGAGCCGCATCGTGTACTACCTGATGAACATCCACGTGCAGCCGCGTACCATCTACCTGTGCCGGCACGGCGAGAACGAGCACAACCTCCAGGGCCGCATCGGGGGCGACTCAGGCCTGTCCAGCCGGGGCAAGAAGGTGCGGGGTGTGCTGCCGCATGGGCCGTTCTGGCTGTAGGGCGGTTGCAGGGTCTATAGGGTGGGTGGGGAGCTGTGTGCTGCTGCTGCTGCTGCTGCTGCTGCTTGGTGTGCTTGCTGTGTGTGTTATCTGTGTGTGCGCCTGCACGTCTCTATGCATATCTGTGTGCATCTCTGTATGGCTCTGTGTGTGTGTGTGTCTACGCCTATCCATGTGGCTTTGTGTGTGTGTGTCTTTGTGTTACTTTGTATGTGTTTGTATGTGTGTCTCTGGTGTGTGTATCTCTGTGCATGTGTGTGATGTGTGCGCGGTTGTGCACTAGGAAGGGAAGGGGCAGGAAGAGCTGAGCCTGGTCTCTGGGTAGGGTGTGTGCGGCTGTGGCTGTCCCAGTGGCCTGGGGCCCCCACGGTGTAACCAGGTAGTGCACAGCCCTACGTGGGCTGCCTGCTCCAGCCCTGGCTCTTGGAGGAGCTGCGGGCATCTGGAATCAGTGGTCCCCCTCCACCACCTCTCAGTTTGCCAGTGCTCTGAGCAAGTTCGTGGAGGAGCAGAACCTGAAGGACCTGCGCGTGTGGACCAGCCAGCTGAAGAGCACCATCCAGACGGCCGAGGCGCTGCGGCTGCCCTACGAGCAGTGGAAGGCGCTCAATGAGATCGACGCGGTGAGTCCTGGGAGGCGGGCAGGCAGCCTCACCCTCGGGCATGGGGCGGCTTCCCAAGAGGCCCTAGACACCCCTGTGGTTTGTTCCCCTGAGTGACCACTGGGTCCCCGCAGGGCGTCTGTGAGGAGCTGACCTACGAGGAGATCAGGGACACCTACCCTGAGGAGTATGCGCTGCGGGAGCAGGACAAGTACTATTACCGCTACCCCACCGGGGAGGTGAGCGCAGGCTGGGGCGGGCTGACGGTCCCCAGCACACATGACCACTGCTGTGCAGGGCTGGGCCACCCCTCCAGGGAGTTCACTTCCGTGTGGGTTCTGGGGGCTCCTACACCCTCCACCTTGGAACTGAGTCCCCCCAAACTGAACCTTCTAACAGCCTGGGGTGAAGTGCATTTTCCCATAAGCAGAAGTGAGATGTGTTTCCCTAGGGACATAGAACTATATGGGAGAGGAGGAAGGTGGTGTGTGAAGGTCCACTGGGCAGGGTGGTGGGCAGGCTGGCAGGAGGGGTGGCTCTATATCCCCTGGGCAGCGTCTGTGCTTCCCCGTGCACGGTGCCCGGGTGGCTGTGGCTGAGGACGCTGTTGCCTCC